>NW_015495300.1:0-230434 GCF_000001405.40 Homo sapiens
CTCCTACCTCAGCCTCCCAAGTAGCTGGGACTACAGGTGTACAACACCATGTCTGGCTAATTTTAAATTTTTTCAGAGATGGGGTCTTGCTATGTTACCCAGGCTGGTCTGGAGCTCCTGGACTCCTGCCTTAGCTTCCCCAAATCCTGGGGTTACAGGTGTGAGCCACCACACCAGGCCAGTGCTAGTTTCAATTTTCTTTGGAGGAACCTCAATACTGTTTTCTGTGTTTTACTAATTTGCATTCCCATCAATAGTGTATAAGGGTTTCCTTTTCTCCACATTCTCACCAACACTTATCTTTGGCCTTTTTGATAATAGCCATTTTGACAGGTGTGACCTGATATCTCATTGTGGTTTTGATTTGCATTTCTCTGAAGTTTAGAGATGTTGAGCACATTTTCATATACCTGTTAGCCATTTGAATTCCTTCTTTTGAGATATATTTATTTAGATTCTTTGCCTTAAAATAAAATTAGGTTATTTGTAATTTTGGAATTGATGTGTATGTGTCCTTATTTTTTGAACTCCTTATAAGAGATATGGTTTACAAACTTTTTCCCCATTTCATAGGTTGCCTTATCATTTCATTAGTTGTTTTCTTTGCTGTGCAGAAGCTTTTTAGTTTGATGTAATTCATTTACCTATTTTGCCTTTGTTGCCTGTGCTTTTGGCATCATATCTAAACAAATTATTGCCAAGACCAATGTCAAGAATGTTTTCTCCTGTCTTCTTCTAGGAGTTTTATGGTTTCAGGTATTGCATTTAAATGTTTAATCCATTTTGAGTTAATTTTTATGTATGATGTGAGCTAGGGATCCGATTTCATTGTTTTGCATGTGGACATCCAGCTTTCCTAACACCATTTGTTCAAGAGCATATCCTCCCCCTATTGTGTCTCCTTGTCACCCTCCAGGGTGATCAATTGCTGCAAATGTGTGGGTTATACCTAGGTTCTCTATTTTGTTCCACTGGTTTATGTGTCTGTTTTTATGCCAGTACCACAGTGTTTTCCTTTCTACAGCTTTGTAATTTAATTTGAAGTCAGGAAGTGTGATACCTGTAGCTTTGTTCTTGCTCAAAATTGCTTTGGCTACTCAGGGTTTTTTGTGATTCTATATGAATTTTAGGATTATTTTTTCTATTTCTGCGAGAGACACCATTGGGATTTTGATATGGATTACATTAAATGTGTAGATTGCTTTGAGTAATATGGACACTTTAATAATACAGTACTCACTCTTTCAATCCATGGGTTGTCTTTCAATTTACTTCAAATTTCCATCATCAATCTTTTGTAATTTGTAGTGTTTAAGTCTTTCACTTCTTTGGTTAGTTAATTCCAAAGTAGTTTATTTGATATTGTTTTTTAAATTTCCCTTTCAGACAATTCATTGTTAGTGTTTAGAAATAGCAATGATTTTTGTATGTCTATTGTATATCCTACAACTTTAATAAATTTATTATATAGTCAGTCCTTCATATTCATGGGTTCTGCAACCATGAACTCAACCAACCATGAACCAAACTTGTACATATTTTCCATCTGTGGTGGTTTGAATCCACAGATGTGGACCCATGGATACACAGGGCCAACTGTACATGATTTTACATGAGGGAGTTGATCATCACAGATTTTGTTATCTGAGGGGGTCCTGAAACAAATCCCTGGCAGATATGAAAGACTGACTGTATTATTTCTAACCAATTATTTCTAACCATTTTCTGTGGAGTCTTTAGAGTTTTCAATGTATAATAATCATGTCTTCTGTTAACAGAGATAACTACATCTTTCCTTTCAATTTTGATGCCTTTTATTTCTCTTGCCTGATTTCTCTGGCTAGGACTTCCAGTACTATGTTGAATAGGAGTGGTGAGAGTAGGCATCCTTGTCTTGTTCCAGATATTAAAGAAAAAGCTTTCATTTTTCCCCATTGATTATTATATTAGATACAGGTTTTTCATATACAGCCTTTATAGTGTTGAGGTAAGTTTCTTCTATACCTATTTTGTTGAGAGTTTTATCATGAAAGTATGTTGAATTTTGTCAAATGTGTTTTCTGCATCTATTGGAATGTTATTTTTGTCTTTCATTCTGTTAATGTGGTATATCACATTATTAATTTTTACACATTGAACCATCCTTGCATCCCATAGATAAATTCCAATTAGTAGTTTATTGAGAATTTTTGCATCTATATTCATTAAGGATACTGGTCTGTAATTATTTTTTCTTGTGTTGTTTTCATCTAGCTTTTAAGTCATGGTAACATTGGCCTCATGAAATGAGTTTGGGAGTATTCTCTCTTCTATTTTTTCTAAAGAGCTTAAGAAGTTTTGGTGTTAGTTCTTCTTTGACTGTTTGGTAGAAGTTGCCCATGAAAGCATCTGCACCTGGGCTTTTCTTTGTTGGGAAATTTTTTATTACTGATTGAATCTCTTTGCTTGCTTTTGGTCTGTTCTATTTCTTTTTTGTTCCAACTTGGTAGATTGCATCTTTCTAAGAATTTATCCATTTCTTCTAGGTTATCCAATTTATTGGCATATAATTGCTTAATTGTCCTTTATAATCATTTGTATTCCTGTACATTTGTTATAATGTCTCCATTTTCATTTCTGATTATATTTACTTGAGTCTCTCTTTTTTTCTTAATGTAGCTAGGGGTTTGTTATTTTTGTTTTTATTTCCAAAAATACAACTCTAGCTTTGTTGATTTTTATATTGTTTTTTATTTTAAAGTTATTTTATTTATATTCTAATCTTTATTATTTACTTCATTATGCTAACTTTGGGCTTAGTTAGTTCTTCTTTTTCTAACTGTTTATTTGTAAAGTTAGGTTGTTCAATTGAGATCTTTCTTATTTTTTAATGTAGGTGTTTATCACTATAACATTTCCCTCTTAGCACTTCTTTTGCTGCATCCTGTAAGTTTTGTTGAGTTGTATGTTCATTTTTGTTTGTCTCAAGATACTTTTAAAATTCCCTTTTGATTTCTCCTTTTACCCAATGGTTGTTCAAGAGTGTGTTGTTTAGTTTCTGCATTTTTGTAAATGTTTCTGTTTTCTTTGTTATTGATTTCTAATTTTATTCCATTGTGGTCTGAGAAGATACTTGGCATTATATCAAACTTCTTAAATTTGTAGGATGCCTTGTGACCTAAGATTTGATCTATCTCAGAGAATGTTCTGTGTGCACTTGAGAAGAATGTATATTCTGATGCTGTTGGATGGAAAGTTCTGTATATGTCAGTGTTTAATGTACCATGTTGTTCAAGTCAGCTGTTTCCTCTTTTTTTTCTTTTTTTTCCTGCCTAGATGTTCTATCCATTATTGCATTTGGGGTACTGAAGTTAGCTACTATTCTTTTATTGTTACTGATTTCTCCCCTTAGCTTTGTTGATATTAACTTTATATATTTAGGTGTTCTAATGTTGGGTGGATACATAATCTTCCTGTTGAAGCGAACTTTTATCATTACATAATGACCTTCTTAGTCTCTAGTGACAGTTTTTGATTTCAAGTCTATTTTTTCTGATCTAAGTATAGATACCCTTGCTCCTTTTTGGTTACCATTTGTGTAGAGTGTCTGTTCCCATCCCTTCACTTTGAGCCTCTATGTATCTTTATATCTAAAGTGACTCCCTTATAAATATGTACTGATGAGTATCTTTTATGCATTGTGCCACTCTATGTCTTTTAATTAGATAGTTTAATCCTTTCACATTTAAAGTCATTGTTGATAGGTAAGGAGTAACTTGCATTTTGTTAATTGTTTTTCATATGTTTTGCAGTTCTTTTTTTTTTCCTCTCTTGCTGTCTTCTTATGTTTGGTTATTTCTTGTAGTGGTTTGGTTTCTTTTCTTCTTCTTCACATTTTGTGTATCTCCTATAAGTTTTTAATTTGTGGTTGCAAATTAACATCTTCTATTAAAAGCTGTCTTAATGTTATCAGCTTTTTTGGAATCATTTTCTTTCTCTTCCCTCTTCAGACATATTTGCAAATAGTCTGTTTTTCAAGACACGAGTAAATAGGGCTCTGGTTAGAAATTTATCAATATGGAAAAAAAAAGATCCTCTGAGTCTTTTGATAAGTTAGAAAATAATGATAGACTGTGGCAGAATGTCATGTATTTCAAGTATTTCATCTGTGTTACTCTGCAATATATTTTCTGTGTGCATTTGTCAATGTTATATATTTATAAGGTAAATCCATAAAGCATACATTCTAGAATCTCCTAACTTAGGTCCTTAAGAGATATGCTCCTTATAACCTTCTTGGCACTCTTGAAGTGTTAAATATTTCCATTGAAGAAGGTTGCATATGGTTTCTGAGATGAAGTCTAGACAGGTTACGATTATTTTTTGTTCCTTTTGCCCACACAGCACCCACTGTCCCCTCCCTTTGTTATTAGCCTTTATCTGATACCCTAGATGAAGCCACCTTCTGTCCTTCAGTTTTGGCGTGGGGGCTGATTTCACCCCCAGTTTCAGGAATAAGCACAGGACAGCTACTAACAAGTATGTTGTTCACTCAAGGAAGAAACCCAGCTAAGGGAGAAAGGGGGGCTGAAATCCGGCCTACATGCTCTTCTCCAAGCCACATGCCCCGATACAGGGCTGCATCTAACTGCAGAAAGGGTAGCCATTTTCTAATACTTGCAAAGGCACTGTGTGGACAGTGCAAACTCTGTATGAGCTCATGACACAGGCCTGGCCAATAAATATACTTCTAATCCTGGCACAGATCAGACTAGAGACGGACATGAAATCCAAGCGTCACACCCAAAGTCAATCTCTAGTCTCTTATTGAGACTATTAGAAGTGTTTCTGTGTTTGCTTTATTCTGGGGCTGTGGAACTAAGGAAGTGTAAACTGGAGGAGTGATGATGGCCACATTGCAGAACAAAGGGAAAACTTGTCTGAGAATAAAGTCAATGGGGAAGAAAAAAGCAAGAAAGCTGAGAAGAGCTAAGTCCTGAGTCCCTACGTTCAGCCATTCTGAAGCTACACCCTGGATTTTTCCATTATACGAGTCCACAAATTAATATTTTTTTTTTGGCTTAGACCAGTTTGAGTTTGAATTCTATTATTTATAACCAAAGGAGTCCTACCATATTATCATAGCTGGATTTTCATAAACACGGTATATGTTGATCAACAAACTTCCTAGATGTTTCAAGTTCACTCCGAAGAGTGAGGGGAAAAAGAAAAGAAGGGAAGAAAATGGTTACTTATCATCCACAGTAGTCAAGGAAGCTACAGAAGCATCAAGCAAAAGCAGCGGAAGTTAGCTTTGTACTCCCACAAACCCTGCTCTGAAGTACTCCGCCTAGTGGCCCACAGCAGAAGCTGCATTTCTAAAATCTTTAAAAAGATAGAACAGGAATCACCACTTACCCTGGGAACCCTAATAGGTGAGCAGGCCACATGGGAATATGTCCCATTGGTTTGAGGTAGATAAGTCCATTTTCAAAGCGGTAGTAATTCCGGAAACAAGAACATATTAATTTTACTTTGATCACACAATGCCTAGTTATATTAAAAGTAAAGAGACATTCAATAAATACCTTTTATGGAAATAAAAACAGACAATTTAGGAGAGAATTAACTATCAATGCGTTATTTTCAAAGGTAAAGAAAAAAGAAATTATTCTGAATGCACAAAACTATTTTATCAAATATCATGGTAAATTATCATTATATACTAGGTCACTTAATAAATTTCCAGAGATGATTGTAAACAGTTTCCACAATAGATTTTGTTTCACCCCAGGAAGTTTCACAAAAAGTTAGTTACTTATCTCCATTGTTACTAGTGCCAACTAATCCTATCATTCTGAGTCAAATTAAAAATAACATCCACACTTTTCTCCAGTGAGATCACAGGAGATGCCTAAGTGGAGTGTGTTTTAATGTGAGGGGATAATTGGTTTATATTTTTCACTGACAATAACAAATAAATTCTAGACAACTTAAGCAAAATAGGAATTCAATGAAAGGATACTGAATAGTTCACAAAATCACTGAAGATGCTGGAGAAGCAAGGTAAGAGCTGAGGGAAACTTGGCACAGCCAAGTTCATCCTACGGAAGCAGATCTTGGGATGCCACAACTAGGATGTTGCCATTTGACACTCATCACCATGTAGCTGGGCTCTGCTGAACTTAGGCACTTCCTGCCACATTCCTGGACCTGCATCTCTGCTCAGTTGCTCAGAATCATCTCTGATTCTTTCAGGTCTTTTGCATCATTTCGTCGGGTTCCAAGTTCTAATAAAGAGACATCCATTGGCTGGGCCTAGATATGTGCCCACACTTGAGTGGCCAAGAAACTGGAAAAAGGATCATGCACTCCCTTTCAGCTTTTGTAATGGAAGGTGGGGCCTGTCCTCATACTTTGCTTGGGGTTCAAAAAACTAGGAAGGGTGTTTTGTTGAAATGAAACCCAAAACTATAGCTATCCATTTATAGCACCTTATTAGTACAGGAAAAAACCATGAGACAAAATGTATAAAAGTGCATGGGAGGTCTAAACATATGAGGGGGTTTCTGAGGAGAGGAAGATCATACTTGATTGGTGCTGTGGTTTCACTGTGCCTCCTCCGAGATTCAGCGTTGACAATGTGATAGTGTTGAGGTGGAGCCTACAGGAAGTGATTAGGCCATCAGGACTCCTACCTCAGGAATGGGTTTAGGAGCCCTCATGAAAGGGCTTCATGGAGGGAGTTCATTCCTCTTGCCCTCCCACCTTCCACCATGTGAGGACACAGTGTTCCTTGACTCTGGAGGATGCAGCATAAAGACACCATCTTGAAAGGAGAGAACAGCCCTTACCAAACATCAGACCTGCCAGCACCTTGATCTTGGACTTCCTAGTCTCCAGAACTGTGAGAGATAAATGTCTGGTTTTCATAAATTGCCTAGTCTCTGTTATTTCACTATAAGAGCATAAATTGACTAAGACAACTGGGGATTAGAAAAAGTAATATGAAGCGGCATTTGAGAAGGGCTTGATAGATAAGATCTCTACAAATAGAAATAGAGAGATGGTTTCACATCACCCAGGTGAAGGGAATAACATAGCCATGTTCAGTCTGAATGCAAAATGGAGATGGTAAAAAAAGTACATAGGATTCCACCACCAGTGGGAGGACAGAATTGCAATGTGGCAGCAATCTGTAAATTAAAATATTTATCACTCATTCCCATTTATTTAGAGTCTAATGTGTTCTAGGCTCTGAAATTAAGCAAAGAAAATCTAGATATGAGTAAGTCCAAGACTTTGCCTTTGTGACAGTCAAAATAATGACCCCATAAAGATGTTCTAGTCCCTGGAATCTGTGACCATATTACTTTACATGGGGCAAAATGGATTCTGTAGATGTGATTAATCCTTGAGTTAGGGGGATTATCCTTGATTATCTTGGGGGCCAATCTAATTGCATGTGTCTATAAAATCAGAGAATCTTTCCTAGCTGCAGTCAGAAGGTGACATGACCACAGAATATAAAATCAGAGAATCTTTCCTAGCTGCAGTCAGAAGGTGACATGACCACAGAACAATGGTCACAGATATCCCACATTACTGGCTTTGAAGATAGAGGGATGGTCCTATGATCCAAGGAATGGGGACAGCATCTACAAGTTGGAAAAGGAAATGGATTCTCTCTAGAGCCTCCAGAAAGCAATACAGCCCTGACAATACCTTGAGTTAAGCCCAGTAAGACCACGGTCAGAGGTTTGCCCTACAGAACTATAGGGTCGTAAGTCTTTGATTTAAGCCACAAAGTTGTGGTAATTTGTTATGGCAGCAATAGAAAATTGATTTTAAGGAGTTTATTGTTTGGAAGATAGGCAGACCAGAAAATCCAAATTATAATATAATTCGATTAAAACCTATGGAGATTTGGGCTAGGTGTTTTAGAAAAGAACTGAGTATTAACAAGACTAACAGAAGAAATTGTTCTAAAATTTACACACTAAGTACATCACATTTTTCTAATGATCACATTGATAGAGCAACTTAGAATCCATGCTTTCAACAAACCAACAGGCTTATATACATATATATATAATTTTATATATATATAATTTTATATATATATAATTTTATATATATAATATATAATATATGGAATAGCCCCACGGGCATGGGCAGCCCTGGGCCACAGGGCAGCACTGTACTAGCAGCCTACACCCCACCTTACCTGCCTACCCTGAGCTGACTTGTCTGCTAAATGCTAAATAAACCTGTCAACCTGTCGGGTTTAACTCAGAAGGGCCTGGATGCAACAAGCCTGAGGGCTGTGACTGGGGTAAGAGAGAGCACAGACGGAGCTCCTCCTCCTTCCACCACTGCCCACCAGCTGAAAACCACCAACTGAAGTTTGCTAAGATTCTCAGCCTACACCTTGTTCCCAACAAAACTCATGCAATACTTTGGCCCCCACTACAATCTCTTGAATAAAATATTCTACGGATCTGCTTTTTGAGCTGCAAGTTATCTTACTAAATTCCAAGAAGCTCATGTAAGAGAAAACCACCACATAATATAAGATTTTCAATGTGATCATCATTGCTACTTTTAACTAGAAAATATCCAGTAAATGTATTGTGAACTGCTTTGTGACTATGGTGATTTATTTAGTCTTTCTGATCCTTGGTTTGATTATCTCAAATATATAAGTATCACCAATTTTATAAAGTTGCTCTAAAAATTAAATGAGAGAAAAATAATTCTCCTTCTCCACATACTGAACACTTACAAAATTATAGGCATTGTGTCCAGGTTTTTACATACTTACCTGATGGAAGTCTCCTAACAACCCTCTCTTTTAAATTACAAGCATTTTGCCACGATTTTTACACATGTATGTTATGGAGGCCTCGCAACAATCACATCTTTTATAGGTGAGCAAACTGAGGCTCAGACGAGTTAAAAACACATTCACCATCAAATCATAATGAGGGACGGAACTGGGATTCAAATCCAGTTCTCTCTGATGCCAAAAATGGTGCAATTTAACAAGGACCAAGTTACACCCAGAACATGGAGGGATCATAACATGTGGATTCCCTTTTCTGCCCCCTCATGTGGGAATTTCAATAGCTTTCACTGCCTCAGAGCAATCCTAAACTCCCTCCCAGGTGCCTTGCAATGGCCCCCTTATTCGTGGGGGTGATTAGGAATCTGCATTTTTGGACCACGAGCATCCATAAACAGTTGTGTTGATCAAGAAATAAAATTTTCTAGGCCATAGGTTACTGTGAATTGTCTAGCTTCTCTGCAAAAAATAAAGGGGCTATTCCATGTAAAAAAATCACAGGATCCACTGAATTTGTGCAGAAAAACTTAGAACTATACCGCAGGAGGATCTTACTGACAGCTGTGCCTGAAGACCAGCCCAACCACACAAAGCAATAGCACCTCCAATGGCCAGGTGTGGTGGTTCTTGCCTGTCATCCCAACAGTGTGGGAGGCCAAGGTGGGTGAATCACTTAAGGCCAGGGGTTTGAGACCAGCTTGGGCAACACAGTGAGACCTTGTCCCTACAAAAAAATCATTTTTTATTATTAGAATCAAGAAGAGTACCTCTAACCCCCTGTCATTGCTTTAGGGTAGAGAGCTCTGGTCTAGAACTCAAGATATGAAATTGTGAATCCCAGTGTAGCTACTTAAGCTTAAATTCAAGAGCTGCCAGACATTTCCTCTACAGCAACGAAATCTGTAGCATCCATTTTGTATTTTGAAAACTTAGTTTTTGGCCAGCCTCTGGGAACAAAAGGACCCAGAATTGGGCATTTGGGTAGGGAGGGAAAAAGAAACCGGCTGGATGCAAAAGGGGAAGACGAAGGGGTGGGGACGCCAGGCAGAGCCAGTCCTCATGCTTGGGGCCTGGACCTAGGAAAGGAACTAGGTGAAGAAGGGAGGAGCCCCAGGCTGTGGATGTCTCTGGGGGAACCTTGGTTCAGCAATGGCCAGAGGAGGTCCTGAGGCCAAGCGGTATCTGTCGCCTCCTTACCTTTGGGTGTCTTCTGGTCGCCAATGTGCTGCAGGTCATGGCTCCGGAATCAAATTGGGCTCAAACGGGGCAAGCTCCAACACAGTGGAGCCTGGCGCTACTCCCACCTCCACCTTGCGGATCTCAGAGCTGCAGGATGGCTCTGCCCACCGCACCCTGAGCTGGCCCCGCTTGGGGCTGGCATTGGGGGACAGTGTGTTCTGGGCGTCTCTGCTCCTCTCTGCTGGTGCCTGTGCCTCTGCTGGCCGCCCACTCATAGATGTCAGAGCCACAGGACGGCCCCGCAGAATCCCTGCGCTGACCCTGCCGGGGGCTGGCTTTGGTGCACATGCAACTCGTCATCGTGGTCCCCATGGGGCACCTCTGCTCTTCTCGAGGCAGCTTGGGCCTTCGCTTGCCCCCACGTCTGCAGAGCTGAGCACCTGCCACCTCTCCCCAGGAAAGGCAACCAAATGCCACCAACTTAAGGCACCCACTGAAGGCACTAACTGAAGGCCACCAACGGAAGGCCGGTTGCCCTGCCAGCCAGATCGCGTACTGCTTAGGAAGAACCAATCAGGCCTTGAGTTCCCTCCACGTGCTGCCCTTCCATTTGTGATGTGGAAGTCCAGGCACTGGCTCACAAAACCGCGCCCCCCAGTGATGCCGCCCCACCTTTCATTTATTGGTAGCTGGTAGCAACTTTCAGGTTTCCTCACTGTGAATTATGAATATGAATTATGATTAAATTACTGTATGCTAATGTACCTCATGCACTATCTGACAGTCAAAGTCCCCTCTTCCCCCATGGCCTCTGAGTTTTTTGGAAACTAGAAAGAAGACACATTTCTGCAGGTGCTTTCAGAAAAAAACATTGCCACGACCTAATGTTACTCTGTGACGTCAAGTCATATTTCATATATCATACATATTCATATTTATATTCATAATTCAAAATGCACATATTCAATCAAATTAACAGGACTAACAAAGGAAATTTTCTAAAACTTATACACTAAGTACATTATATTTTTCTAATGATCACTTTAATAGAGCAACTTAGAATCTATGGTTTGAACAAATGAAGAGGCTTATGCAAGAGAAAACCACCACCTAACACAAGATTTTCAATGTGATCATCATTGCTACTTTTCACTAGCAATTGTCCAGTCAATATATTGTGAACTGCTTTGTGACTATGGTGATTTATTTAAACTTACTGATCCTTTATCTCAAAAATATGAATAATACCAATTTTATAAACTTGTTCTAAAAATTAAATGAGAGAAAAATAATCCTCCTTCTCTATATATTGAAAACCTACAAAATTAATAACATTGTGTCCAGATTTTTACACACTTACCTTATTGAAGCCTCATCACAACCCCGTCTATTAAATTATAGGCATTATTCCCAGATTTTTATACACTTACCTTATGCAAGCCTCGTAACAATCCCATCTTTTATAGATGAGCAAACTGAGGCTCAGACGAGTTAAAAACACATTGACCATCAAATCATAGTGAGTGATGGAACTGGGATTCAAATCCAGTTCTCTCTGACACCAAAGGTGGTGCAATGTAATGAAGACCAAGTTATATCCAGCACATGGAGGGACCAAAACATGTGAATTCCCTTTCTCTACCCTCTTACGTGTGAATTTCAATGGCTTTCACTGCCTCAGAACCATCCCAAACTCCCTCCCAGGTTGCCTTGCAGTGGATCCTTTCTTCTTGGGGATGATTAGGAATCCGCATTTTTGGACCACAGGCATCTATAAAGAGTTGTGTTGATCAAGAAATAAAATTGTCTAGGCCATAAGTTACTGTGAATTGTCTAGCTTCTCTGCAATAAATAAAGGGGCTATTCTCTTTATTTTTTATTATTCCACTATTCACAATAGCCTAGAATCAACCTAAGTGTCCAAGAAGACTCGGTTTAACCCTGGGGATTACTAATGTTTTCATTGTGGTCAATGTGGTAGATTATATTACCATTCTCCCATTATCTGGTCTTCCTACTGCAGTGGCCCTATCTCCTAGAAGATTATACATTTCTGTCCTATTGAAGTAAGGGTCAGATTTAGACATGTGACCGGTTTGGCCAGTGAAATGTAGGTAGAAGTGGCATGTGTAACTTGTTAGCAGAAAATTTCCTTTTTCAAGGATCTGGGAGCCATCCCTTTCAAATGTAATCCTCCAGAAAGATAATACCTTATTTCCCAGTCTCTATGAGAGAGTAAGAGCCTAATCTTGCTCCAAGTTGTAAAAATTACCTTATATTATAAAGATAAAAGAAAGTTTATTTTTCCTTTGAGAAAAGACAGTTAGCAAAGACAGGTGGCCTATGATCACCCCCTTACTCTCGCTTTCAAAAACTCCACTGCCCTTTGTATCAGGGGAGCTGAGTTCAGACTAGGTTCTGGCCTCTCTCCCCTGTTGAATAATATCTTCCTTACTTATTTAACTTTTTCCAGTGCAATTTTTTCTTTGACTCTTTCCTCCCTCTCTGAAACTTGCATTGAAATTTTAGTAGGATACAAGGCAGGCAATCTCGACCCTTGAATATATAAAAGAACCCTTTAGGATTAAAAAACCCATGTTCTCTTCCATAAGTTATTTCTTCAGACTATTGCCTTATTAAAAGTTTCTAGTTCTTATTTTTGCATTGAAAAGGAGAATGATGATTTTTAAATAAGTTCCTACTCACTTTTAATTTCTACTATCACAATTTTATTGCTTTTCATGGCAATAGATTTCTCTGGTTCAACAAGAAGGCCAGAACAAGGAAGTACAGAAACATCTCAATATATCTTAAAAAGTTATTTAACATGGACAGTGTCATTTAATATCTTTAACATCCCTATCAAATGGATGCTATTATTATCCCCCTTTTACAGGATATTAAAACTTACATACTGTAAATAACCAGCTGAAAGTCATATAGCATGGAAAATACAATAAGCATACAAAGAAGCAATGGCATTAGAAGTGGAGGAGAGTTAAGGATTAAAAGGCTAAACTTAGTTTGGTTAAGAAAAAAGAAAACTAGGAGGTGGCAAACTCTTGTTGGAAAGGGGAAGGATTTGGGCAGAGCAAGGTAGTGGAGTCGATCTCTCCAGTAATCTTACCCCTACGGACACATCTATATGAACAACTATCCACATATAAAATTACCTTTACAAGAGCTAACGAACCCTGAATACATGAGTCAGTCTATGAAGCCCCTTTGGACTGCAAAGAGTAGAACCATGCTTGGACAGTAAGGGAACCAGTACTCTGTGACTGTGATACTCCTCCCCCAGGCCATAATGGTATTATATGCAGAAAGTCCTCCTTACAGTTCTTACACTGAATAAAGTGAGCAGAAGTTGAATATTTTTTTCCACCATACTGAGTCCCTTCACAGTAGACTCCTGCATCAGCCCACAAGCAGCACCATGAGTGTCAACAGAGCTGAACCGCCCGAGGCATGCTAGGGACATAGAGAAGGGGTTGGGTTAGCAATACTCATTATATGAAACTTAGCAGTGGCTAGCCATTCCTACCAGAGGAAACACTACACCAGAGAGGTTGTTTATGGGCACCATGCTGTGGGAAACATGATACACAGACTGTCCAGATTTGATAGCCTGACTTGTTCTCCCCCACAGCCAGGAGCCTTTCTGTGGATCACCCATGGGCCCATTCAGTTACATTGCATCAGTGGTGAAGCCCCATTGTGAGACTTATGTCTAACCTTTGCTTTGGGCACCTCCTAATGCTAAAATGGAATATAATGGAAATCCACACCGAATTTCTAAACAAGCCCACTGAGAAACAGTCAAAAACAAACCCAGACTGAGAAGACTGAAATAAATATTTAATTCATCAATGTGTAGACAGAGATATACATCTACAAAAAATAAGAATAGCCTAGGAAAAACTGCCTCACCAAATGGAGAAAATAAGGTGTCAGCAACTGAACCTAAAGACATGCAAATGAATGATGTGGCAGACAAAAAAAATTCAAATAGCTGATTTTAAAAAAAAAATCGGTGAACTTCAACAAAGTACAGAGAAACAATATGGAAATTTATAAGAAATTCAACAAAGAATTTAAAATAATGGGAAAAAATCAAGTGGAAATCCTGGAGTTGGAAAGTTCAGTAAACAAATTGAAAAATGCACTAGAGGGCATCAAAAGCAGAACTGATCAAGTAGAAGAAAAAAACAGTGAGCTCAAAGACAGGCTCTTTGAAAATACACTGTCAAGAGTAGAAAAGAGAAAAAAATGAGAAGAAACAAAGAAAACTTATGAGATCCATGGGACACCATCAAAAAAAAAAAATCTACAGTGTTAAAGTGGAACTGAGAATGAAAAAGAGTTAGAAAATTATTCAGAGAAATAACAGAAAACTTTTTAAACTTAGAGAAACATTAAGATGTTTAGGATGGCCAAAGCGCACTAATCTGATTTAATCTGAATAAGACAACCACAAGATATATTATAATTGAACTTTCAAAGGTCAAAAACAAAGAGTAGGTCCTGAAAGCACTAAGAAAAAGGAAGCATATAATACATAATGTGCCTGGCAGCAGACTTCTCAGCAGAAGCAATGTGGGCCAGGAGAGAGTAGGATAATAGAATCAAGTGCTGAAGAAAAAAACTGTCAACCATGAATGTAGTATCCAGAACAGCTCTCATTTGAAATGAAGGAGAGATTAAAACGTTCTAAGACAAACAAAAGATGAAGGAATTCATTGTAACCATACCTGCCTTAAAAAAAATGTTAAAGAACCGTCTTCAAAGTGAAAGAAAAGGGCACTAATATGTAATGCAAAAAATTGGAAGGTATAAATCCACAGGTAAAAATAAATATTCAGACAAATTCAGAATGCTCTAATATAGTAATAATTGAATGTAAACCACTTACATATTTTTAGTAAGAAGGTTAAAATACAAAACAAAAATAATAACAACTACAATAATTTGTTAAGGGATAAGTGATATAAAAGATGTAAATTCAGACATCAAAAATGCAAAATGTGGGGGAGTGATTGAGTTAAAGAGCAGAGTGATTGTTTTTCCCCATTTCTTATTATCAAAATTAAGTTGTTATCCATTCAAATTACCTGTTGAAACCATAAAATATTCTTCACATGCCTCATAGAAACCAAAAGGCAAAAATATTTAATAGATACACTAAAAATAAAAGAACAAGAAACAAAAACACACAGAAAAAATCACTTAACTACAAAGGAAGACAATAAAGGAACAAAAAGGTACAAAAATTCTAAAAGACAACAAGAAAACCACGTACGGCAGTACAAGTCCTTATCTATCAATAATTACCTTGAATGTAAATAGATTAAATTATCCAGTAAGAAGACAGAGAATGGGTAAATGGATTAAAAACAAGACCTAACTATATTCTTTCTACAAGAGACTCCCATCACCTTTAAATACACGCATAAATTGAAAGTGATCAGATGGAAAAATATATTTTACGACAATGGAAATCAAAAGAATGCAGGAGTAGGTATATTTATATCAAATAAAATATACTTCAAGTAAAAAAACTATAAACACAGACAAACAAGGCCATTATGTAATAATAAAGGGGTCAGTACAACAAGAGAATACAATAATTGTAAATACATAATGCACTCAACATTGGAGAACCTAAATATATAAAGCAAACATTAATAGTTCTAAAAGGAGAGACAAAAAACTGTGCAATAATAGTAAAAAACCTTGACATCCCATTTTCAGTAATGAACAGATCATTGAGAGAGAATGTCAACAAGGAAACATTTAAACTGCACTCTAGGTCAAAAGAATTTAACAGTTATTTACATAACATTTCATCCAACAATTGAATAATTCAGTCTTTTCATCTGCACATGGAATATTGTCCATGATAGATATGTTAGACCACAAAACAAGTCTTAGCTAATCAAAAAATCAAATCATATCACATATTTTTTCTGACCATATGGAATAAAGCTAGAAATAAACAATAAGAGAAACTTCAGAAATTGTGCAAATACATATAAATTAAACAATATATCCCTAAACAACCAACGGGTCAATGAAAAAAAAAATTTTTTTAAATGTCTTAAGACAAATAAAAATGAAATCAGAACATATGAAAACTTATGAGATACAGCAAAACAGTCCTTAGAGGGAAGTTTATAGCAATACATTTCTACATCAATAAAGAAGAAAGATAATGAATAAACCCTCTAATTATGTATTTCAAGGAACTATAAAATCAAGAACAAACTAAGACCCAAATTAGCAAAAGAATATAAAGATCAGAGCACAAATATACAAAATGAAGACAAAAAATACAAATGATTAATTAAAGAATCTTTTTTGAAAAGGTAAAATTGACAAACGTTTTGTCAGACTAAGAAAAAAAGAGAAAATTCACATAAAGTCAGAAATGAAAAAGGATATGCTATGATGGACACTACAGAAATACAAGGAATCATGAGTAAGTACTACAAACAATTATACACCAATAAATTGAAAAACTTAGAAGAAATACATATGCTCTGGACACATATAACCTATCAAAATTGAAGATAGAAGAAATGGAAAATGTGAACACACCAATGACAAATAATGAGATTGAAGGAGTGATTTAGTCTGTCAGTCAAGGAAAATCCAAAAGACTTCACACAGTAGCTCCCACCTGTAATCTCACATTTTAGGATCCCAAGGCAGGAGAATCACTAGAGGCCAGGAGTTCAAGATTAGCCTGGGCAACACAACGGGACTCCATCTCTAAAAATAAAAATAAAAATTCCCCAGGTATAGTGGTGTGTACTTATACTCAGGAGGCTGAGGCAGGAGGATCACTTAAGACCAGGAGTTTGAGGCTGCAGTCAGCTACGACTGCACCACTGTATGCCAGCCTCAGTGATAGAGTGAGACTCTGTCTCTAAAAAAATAGAAGAAGAAAGAAAAGTTCATGACTTGATGGTTTTCACTGACAAATTCTACAAAATATTTTAAAAACTTATACAGATTATTTACAAACTATTTCAAAAAAATGAAAAGGAGGGAACTCTTGCAAACTCATTCTATGAAGACAGCATTACCTGAATCCAAAATGAGACAAGAACAGCAAATAAAACTCCAGGCCAATATCATTGATAAACATACATGCAAACATTCAAAACCAGCAGTGCTAGCAATGATAATTCAAAAGCACATTAAAAAGATTATTCACCATAATCAAGTGGTATTTACCCGGGGAGGTAAGGATGGTCTAACACATGTAAATCAATAACTGTGATACATCACATTAAACAATGAAGGATAAAAAACATATAATCATTTCAATAGATGCAGAAAAAGCATATGACAAAATTAGACATCCTTTTATGATCAAATCTTTTGACAAATTAGTTATAAAAGAACATAATAAAATAAAGACCATATGTGATAACCCACAGGCAACATTATACTGAATGGTGAAAAGTTGAAAGCTTTGCCTCTAGGATCTGGAACAAGACAAGGATGTTCACTTTAATCACTTTTTTCAACATAGTACTGGAAGTCCTAGTCAGAACAATTAGGTAAGAGAAAGAAATAAAAGGCATCCAAATTGGAAAAAAAAGTCTAATTGTCCCTCTTTGCAGATGACATGATCATATATGTAAAAAACCCTAAATACCCCACTGAGAATCAGAAATAGTAAATGAATACAATAAGGTTTCAAGATACAAAAGCAACATAAAAAATCAGTAACATCTCTATTCACCAATAGCAGACTATCTGAAAAAGGAATCAAGAAAGTAATCCCATTTAAAATAGCTATTAAAAAAAACAAAATACCTACAAGCAAATTAAGCCACGGAAAGATGAAAATTATTAAACATTGATAAAAGCAATTGAAAAAAATTAAAATAAATAGAAAGATACCCCATATTCATGGACTAGAAGAATTAATATTGTTGAAATGACCACACTACTCAAATCAATCTATAGATCCAATATAATCTCTATCAAATTTCCAATTTCATTCTTCACAGATATTAAAAAAGATCTTAAAATCCATGTGAAACTACAAAACACCCCAAATAGCCAAATAAATCTTAAGCAAAAAGAGCAATGCTAGAGGTATTACACTATCTAATTTCAAAATGTATTGCAAAGCTATCCTAACTAAAACGCATGGTATTGGCATAAAAACAGGGACACAGACCAGTGGAACAAAAATAGAGAGCCCAGGCATAAATCCACACGTTTACATGCAACTTATTTTTGACAAAGATGCAAACATTCAATGGGGAAAAGACAGTATTTTCAACAAATGGTGCTGGGAAAAGTGGATATCCCCATACAAAAGAATGAAAGTAGACCCCTATCTCTCATCATATCCAAAAACCAACTCAAAATAAATTAAATATTTAAATGTAAGACCCCAAACTATGAAACTAGTAGAAGAAAACATAGGTGAAATGTTATATGTCATTGGTCTGGGCAAGGACTTTTTAGAAAAGACATCGAAAGACATGCACAACAAAAGCAAAAATAAACAAATGGGATTACACCAAATAAAAACTTCTGCACTGCATAGGAAACAATCACAAGAGTAAGCAGACAACCTACAAAATGGGAGAAAATATCTGCAAACTATTCACTTGATAAGGGGTTAATATCCCAAATTTATAGAAAACTCAAACAACTCAATAGCAAAAATACAAATAATTGGATTAGAAAATAGTCAAGAGAGCTGAATAGACATTTCTCCAAATAAGACATAAAAATCACCAACAGGTATATGAAAAAAATGCTCACCATCACTAATAATCAGAGAAATGCAAGTCAAACCTGTCAGGCCTCTGGGCCCAAGCTAAGCCATCATATCCCCTGTGACCTGCACGTACACATCCAGATGGTTGGTTCCTGCCTTAACTGATGACATTCCACCACAAAAGAAGTGAAAATGGCCTGTTCCTACCTTAACTGATGACAATATCTTGTGAAATTCCTTCTCCTGGCTCAAAAGCTCCCCTACTGAGCACCTTGTGATCCCCACTCCTGCCCACCAGAGAACAACCCCCCTTTTTCCTTTACCTACCCAAATCCTATAAAATGGCCCCACCCCTATCTTCTTTCACTGGCTCTCTTTTCGGACTCAGCCCACCTGTACCCAGGTGAAATAAACAGCTTTATTGCTCACACAAAGCCTGTTTGATGGTCTCTTCACATGGACGCGAGTGAAATTTGGTACCGTGACTCAGATCGGGGGACCTCCCTTAGGAGATCAATCCCCTGTCCTCCTGTTCTTTGCTCCGTGAGAAAGATCCACCTATAACCTCAGGTCCTCAGACCAACCAGCCCAAGAAACATCTCACCAATTTCAAATCCGGTAAGTAGCCTCTTTTTACTCTCTTCTCCAACCTCCCTCACTATCCCTCAACCTCTTTCTCCTTTCAATCTTGGTGCCACACTTCAATCTCTCTCTTCTCTTAATTTCAATTCATTTCATTTTCTGGTAGAGACAAAGGAGACACGTTTTATCCATGGACCCAAAACCCTGGTGCTGGTCACAGACTAGGGAAGGCAGCCTTCCATTGGTGTTTAATCATTGCAGGGACGCCTCTCTGATTATTCACCCAGGTTTCAGAGGTGTCAGACCACACAGGGATGCCTGCCTTGGTCTTTCACCCTTAGTGGCAAGTCCCACTTTTCTGGGGGAGGGGCAAGAACCCCAATCCCTTCTCTCCATGTCTCTACCCCTTCTCCACTTTTCTGGGGGAGGGGAAAGAACCCCTCAACCCCTTCTCCTTCACCCTTAATGGCAAGTTCTGCTTTTCTGGAGGAGGGGCAGGAACCCCAACCTCTTATCTCTGTGCCCCGATCCCTTATTTCCGTGCCCCGACCTCTTATCTCTGTGCCCCAGCTCCTTATTTCCACGCCCCAACCCCTTCTCTGCTTTTCTGGAGGGCAAGAACCCCCCACCCCTTCTCCGTGTCTCTACTCTCTTTTCTCTAGGCTTGCCTCCTTCACTATGGGAAAGCTTCCACCTTCCATTCCTCCTTCTCCCTTAGCCTGTGTTCTTGAGAACTTAAAACCTCTTCAACTCTCACCTGACCTAAAATCTAAGCATCTTGCATCTTATTTTCTTCTGCAATGCCACTTGACACCAATACAAACTCAACAGTAGTTCCAAATAGCTGGAAAACGGCACTTTCAATTTTTCCATCCTACAAGATCTAAATAATTCTTGTCATAAAATAGACAAACGGTCTGAGGTGCCTGATGTCCAGGCATTCTTTTACACATCAGTCCCTCCCTAGTCTCTGTTCCCAATGTAACTCATCCCAAATCTTCCTTCTTTCCCTCCCACCTGTCCCCTCAGTCCCAACCCCAAGCATTGCTGAGTCTTTCTAATCTTCCTTTTCTACAGACCCATCTGACCTCTCCCCTCCTCACCAGGCTGAGCTAGGTCCCAATTCTTCCTCAGCCTCTGCTCCTCCACCCTATAATCCTTTTATCACCTCGCCTCCTCACACCCGGTCTGGCTTTCAGTTTCATTCTGTGACTAGCCCTCCCCCACCTGCCCAGCAATTTACTCTTAAAAAGGTGGCTGGAGCTAAAGGCATAGTCAAGGTTAATGCTCCTTTTTCTTTATCCCAAATCAGATAGCGTTTAGGCTCTTTTTCATCAAATATAAAAATCCAGCCCAGTTCATGGCTCGTTTGGCAGCAACCCTGAGATGTTTTACAGCCCTAAGAGCCTAAAAGATCAAAAGGCCGTCTTATTCTCAACATACATTTTATTACCCAATCTGCTCCCGACATTAAATAAAACTCCTAAAATGAAATTCTGGCCCTGAAACCCCACAACAGGACTTAATTAACCTCACCTTCAAGGTGTACAATAATAGAGTAGAGGCAGCCAAGTAGCAACATATTTCTGAGTTGCAATTCTTTCCCTCCACTGTGAGACAAACCCCAGCCACATCTCCAGCACACAAGAACTTCCAAATGCCTAAACCGCAGTGGCCATGCATTCCTACAGAACCGCCCCCACTAGGAGCTTGCTACAAGTGCCAGAAATCTGGCCACCAGGCCAAGAAATGCCCACAGCCCTAAGCCATGTCCTCCTAAGCCATGTCCCATCTGTGCAGGACCCCATTGGAAATTGGACTGTCCAACTCACCTGGCAGCCACTCCCAGAGCCCCTGGAACTCTGGCTCAAGGCTGTCTGACTGACTCCTTCCCAGATCTTCTTGGCTTAGCGGCTGAAGACTGACACTGCCTGATCACCTCGGAAGCCCCACAGACCATCACAGATGCTGAGCTTTAGGTAACTCTCACAGTGGAAGGTAAGTCCATCCCCTTCTTAATCAATATGGAGGCTACCCACTCCACATTACCTTCTTTTCAAGGGCCTGTTTCCCTTGCCTCCATAACTGTTGTAAGTATTGACAGCCAGGCTTCTAAACCTCTTAAAACTCCCCAACTCTGGTGCCAATTTAGACAATACTCTTTTAAGCACTCCTTTTTAGTTATCCCCACCTGCCCAGTTCTCTTATTAGGCCGAGACACTTTAACTAAATTATCTGCTTCCCTGACTATTCCTGGACTACAGCTACATCTCATTTCTGCCCTTCTTCCCAATCCAAAGCCTCCTTTGCATCCTCCTCTTGTATCCCCCGACCTTAACCCACAAGTATAAGATACCTCTACTCGCTCCTTGGCAACTCATCATGCACCCCTTACCATCTCATTAAAACCTAATCACCCTTACCCCTCTCAATGCCAATATCCCATCCCACAGCATGCTTTGAAAGGATTAAAGCCTGTTATCACTCGCCTGCTACAGCATGGCCTTTTAAAGCCTATAAACTCTCCTTACAATTCCCCCATTTTACCTGTCCTAAAGCCAGACAAGCCTTACAAGTTAGTTCAGGATCTATGCCTTATCAACCAAATTGTTTTGCCTATGAACCCCATGGTGCCAAACCCATATACTCTCCTATCCTCAATACCTCCCTCCACAATCCATTAGTCTGTTCTGGATCTCAAACATGCTTTCTTTACTATTCCTTTTCACCCTTCATCCCAGCCTTCTTCACTTTCACTTGGACTGACCCTGACACCCATCAGGCTCAGCAAATTACCTAGGCTGTACTGCTGTAAAGCTTCACAGACAGCCTCCATTACTTCAGTCAAGCCCACATTTCTTCCTTATCCGTTACCCATCTCAGCATAATTCTCATAAAAACACATGTGCTATCCCTGCCAATCATGTCTGACCAATCTCTCAAACCCCAAACCCTTCTACAAAACAACAACTCCTTTCCTTCCTGGGCATGGTTAGATACTTTCGCCTTTAGATACCTGGTTTTGCCATCCTAACAAAACCATTACATAAACTCACAAAAGGAAACCTACATGACCCCATAGATCCTAAATCCTTTCCCCACTCCTCTTTCTGTTCCTTGAAGACAGCTTTAGAGACTGCCCCCACTCTAGCTCTCCCTGACTCATCCCAACCCTTTTCATTACACACAGCTGAAGTGCAGGGCTGTGCAGTCAGAATTCTTACACAAGGACTGGGATCGCGTCCTGTAGCCTTTTTGTCCAAACAACTTGACCTTACTGTTTTAGACTGGCCATCATGTCTCCATGCAGCGGCTGCTGCCACCCTAATACTTTTAGAGGCCCTTAAAATCACAAACTATGCTCAACTCACTCTCTACAGCTCTCATAATTTCCAAGATCTATTTTCTTCCTCACACCTGACGCATATACTTTCTGCTTCCCAGCTCCTTCAGCTGTACTCACTCTTTGTTGAGTCTCCCACAATTACCATTTTTCCTGGCCCAACTTCAATCTGGCCTCCCACATTATTTCTGATACCACACCTGACCCCCATGACTGCATCTCTCTGATCCACCTGACATTCACTCCATTTCCCCACATTTCCTTCTTCCCTGTTTCTCACCCTGATCACACTTGGTTTATTGATGGCAGTTCCACCAGGCCTAATCACCACACACCAGCAAAGGCAGGCTATGCTATAGTACAAGCCACTAACCCGCCTCTTAGAACCTCTCATTTCCTTTCCATCGTGGA
The DNA here is from genome assembly GCF_000001405.40 of Homo sapiens. NCBI lineage: Eukaryota > Metazoa > Chordata > Mammalia > Primates > Hominidae > Homo > Homo sapiens. The sequence continues at coordinate 23,089 of NW_015495300.1, forward strand.
AATCTATCCTCAAGGAAATAACTTCTCAGTGTTCCATCTGCTATTCTACTACTCCTCAGGGATTATTCAGGCCCTCTCCCTTCCCTACACATCAAGTTCAAGGATTTGCTCCTGCCCAGGACAGGCAAATTTGCTATTCTACTACTTCTCAGGGATTATTCAGGCCCCCTCCCTTCCCTACACATCAAGCTTAAGGATTTGACCCCACCCAGGACTGGCAAATTAGCTTTACTCAACATGCCCCGAGTCAGGAAACTAAAATACCTCTTGGTCTAGGTAAGACACTTTCACTAGATAGGTAAAGGCCTTTTCCACAGGGTCGAAGAAGGCCACCACGGTCATTTCCTCCCTTCTGTCAGACATAATTCCTTGGTTTGGCTTCCCACCTCTATACAGTCTGATAGCAGACCGGCCTTTATTAGTCAAATCAGCCAAGCATTTTTTCAGGCTCTTAGTATTCAGTGAAACCTTTATATCCCTTACAGTCCTCAGTCTTCAGGAAAAGTAGAACAGACTAATAGTCTTTTAAAAACACACCTCACCAAGCTCAGCCACTAACTTAAAAAGGACTGGACAATACTTTTACCACTTTCCCTTCTCAGAATTCAGGCCTGTCCTCAGAATACTACAAGGTATAGCCCATTTGAGCTCCTGTATAGACGCTCCTTTTTATTAGGCCCCAGTCTCATTCCAGACACCAGATCAACTTGGACTATGCCCCAAAAAACTTGTCATCCCTACTATCTTCTGTCTACTCATACTCCTATTCACCATTCTCAACTACTCATACATGCCCTGCTCTTGTTTACACTGCCAGTTTACACTGTTTCTCCAAGCCATCACAGCTGATATCTCCTGGTGCTACCCTCAAACCGTCACTCTTAACTCTTAAAGTAAATAAAAAATCTTTGCTGGCAAAGCTATGCTGAACCTCCTTAGGCACTCTCTAATTAGATGTCCTAGGTCCTCCCAATTGTTAGTCCTTTAATACCTGTTTTTCTCCTTGTCTTATTCCGTTTAGTTTTTCAATTCATACAAAACTGTATCCAGGCCATCGCCAATAATTCTAAATGACAAATGTTTCCTCTAACAACCCCACAATATCACCCCTTACCACAAAATCTTCCTTCAGCTTAATCTCTCCCACTCTAAGTTCCCACGCCGCCCCTAATCCCGCTCGAAGCAGCCCTGAGAAACATCACCCATTATCTCTCCATACCACCCCTAAAAAATTTTCACTGTCCCAACACTTTACCACTAATTCATTTTATTTTTCTTATTAATATAAGAAGACAGGAATGTCAGGCCTCTGAGCCCAAGCTAAGGCATCATATCCCCTGTGACCTGCACGTACACATCCAGATGGCCGGTTCCTGACTTAACTGATGACATTCCACCATAAAAGAAGTGAAAATGCCCTGTTCGTACCTTAACTGATGACATTATCTTGTGAAATTCCTTTTCCTCGCTCATCCTGGCTCAAAAGCTCCCCTACTGAGCACCTTGTGACCCCCACTCCTGCCCGCCAGAGAACAACCCCCCTTTTGCCTTTACCTACCCAAATCCTATAAAATGGCCCCACCCCATCTCCCTTCACTGACTCTTTTCGGACTCAGCCCACCTGCACCCAGGTGAAATAAACAGCTTTATTGCTCACACAAAGCCTGTTTAGTTTAGTGGTCTCTTCACACAGATGCAAGTGAAAAAACCCACAGTGAGATATCATCTCACCCTGCTTAGAATGCCTTTTATGAAAAAGCCAAAAAATAACAAATGCTGGCAAGGATGTGAAGAAAGGGGAATGTTCATACACTGTTGGTGGAAATGTAAATTAGAGCAATTGTTATGGAAAACAATATAACTTCCAAAAACATTAAAAATAGACTTACCACATAATCCAGCAATCCCCCTACTGGGTGTATATTCAAAGAAAATTAAATCAGTATGTCAAAGAGATTTCTGCACTCTCATGTTTATTACAGCACTATTCACAATAGCCTAGAATCAACCTAAGTGTCCATCAATGAATGAATGGATAAAGAAAATGTGGCATATATGCTGTATTTGGCCATTCTTGCATTGCTATAAAGAAATAACTGAGATTGGATAATTTATAAGAAAAGAGACTTAATTGGCTCCTGGTTCTGTGGGCTCTACAGGAAGCATAGTGCCAACATCTGCTTCTGGGGCCTCAGGAAGCTTGAGAACTTGTTCACTATCATGAGGATAGCACCAAGCCATGAGGGATCCACCTCCATGACCCAAACACCTCCTACCAGGCCCCATTTCTAACAGTGGGGATTACAATATAACATGAGATATGGGTCAGGACAAATATCCAAACTATATCATATGCACACTTGGCCATAAAAAAAGGATAAAATCGTGTCATTTGTGACAACATGAATGAGTAGAGAGGACATTGTGGTAAGTGAAATAAGCTAACCACAGAAAGACAAATATCACATGATCTCATTCATATGTGAAATCTAAAAACACTGATCTAATAGAGAGTAGAAGAGTGGTTACCAGACTGGGAAAGTTAGGGAGAAGAGGTTTTAACAATGTATCATGTATCAAAATACCACATTGTACCCCATCAACATGTGAAATTATCATGTGTCCACTTAATAAAAAAAAAGAAAATGGAAGAGTCAAGATACTGGGGCACTTGAAGAGATAGAAGGTGAATTGGCAGTAAGGAAGAGAGAGTCTGAAAGAGCAGGTCACAGAGTGGAACATTAAAGTTTATAACATTAGAAATCAATTTTTAAGTTATTGAAAAGTTTATAGCCATGAAAGTGAGTAGCTCAATTGAAGTGAAAGTAAAAGTCAATGAAAGATTAAATTAGAAAATATATTGCTTGGCATTTAGTAGTTACTTCAGAAATATTAATAAATCTTAAGAAAATTAAGAACGCCAAAGCATTCATAGTGGGCCATTATCATAATACAAATGTATGTGGTAATATTTTATTCTTTCTAGTGAAGGGAGTAATTCAACAGTCTTGATTATAGGTTAGAAAATGATTCTCCAGGTGTGACCCACTGACCACATTCATTGTATTTGAATTGCTTGAGCAACTTGTTTCAGAAGAAAATGGAAAGATTTTAAGATGGACCAATGAAATTACCACTGAGTGTCTTCAAGAAATCTCAGCCTTGCCTAGAATAACCTGGGTTATCTGTTTCTATGGGGTCTTTTTGCCTTTTGTTTTCTTTGTTATTTGCAATCCTGTTAGTCATAGATTACTGATAGTAATGCAAATATTCTTGTCCATAGACATGCAAATGACTGATTTGGGTGGAAGTATAATTAATTTTCCTTTTTTCACCTTCCATCAAGAAGTCAGTTTTGAACCTATCAAGAAAATTTATTTCAGTGTTCCTTAGTGCATAGAGATGTGTGGCTCTTTTAATTTTCCATAAAACTCATTATAACATCTTACTGACTCCCTCATTAAATAAATGAGTTAAACAAAAATCTTAGACAAATGTTCATTTTATATTTGTAAGTCATAATTTATCCTACTTGAAGCAATTTTCCTTTAACATTCCTAAAAATACAGATTCCTATGCCCCATGCTAGACCTACTGAATCAAAATCTCAGGCCTAAGGCACAAGAATTTGCATTGTTAGTAAGCTTTTCAAGTGATTTTTAGGCATACTATATTATATTAACCATTACCATTCTAATTCTTTAAACTTGAATTATTGTGTTTATAATTCCAACTTCATCAAAGTAAACTTTTTGTTAGCAAAAACGGTAGAAACCCCCTTATTCAATAAGATTGGGACCAGTAATAAATAGATTAATAACAAATTTAAGTTAGATGGAGGAATCATAAGAAGTATTAGATGTAAGTCCTTAAAACAACTTTAATTTAAAAGACATGTGTAAATAAATTTGCCACTATTTTGATGACAAGGTCAAAGCCTTGCACGGATTCAATGAGTGGAGTTTCTTGTGGAAACTATGCCAATGATATGTTGTCATTCATTTCTCGTTCACTTTCTGTGAAGACAACTGGGGTAAAGCAATCTGAAATCCTAGAGTATACAATTTTTCCCATTTGTTTCTAGTTGTCTTGCCCACTGTTAAGTTGGCAGCAACTGTTTGAGTGTCTCATTTTCCCAACACATTTGGTTTATTTCTCAAAGAAACAACAATACTACTCTTGTTGTACTCATTTTCTCAGTTTACATAATATTTATTTTTTATTTTATTTATTTTTTTTTTGAGATGGAGTCTCGCTCTGTTGCCCAGGCTGGAGTGCAGTGGTGCCATCTCTACTCACTGCAAGCTCCGCCTCTCAGGTTCACCTCATTCTCCTGCCTCAGCCTCCCAAGTAGCTGGGAGTACAGGCGCCCGCCACCACGCCCTGCTAATTTTTTTGTATTTTCAGTAGAGACCGGGTTTCACCATGTTAGCCAGGATGGTCTCGATCTCTTGACCTAGTTATCCGCCCTCCTTAGCCTCCCAATATAATATTTAATTAAATTGCATAACTACAAGAGCAAGAACAAATGGTGTAAACATATTTAGGAATGAACACAGCTTCCTCTTAGAAACTATATAATTTCTGTGATGGAAGGAGAAATGTACAGGCATTAAAAGTAGCTCAAAGGCTTTCAGTTTGCAATGGACATCAGTCAATAAGTTGTACAGGGGTACCAGAAAGTGCTAATTGTAAATCAGTTAAGTGGAGGTCAGTTAAGGCAGCATCCACTGTATCTTAATTTGTGAAGTGAATGTTCTAAAACTGGGTTCACTTTTGCTATAAAGGACCAGATGATAAATATTTTAAGCTTTGCAAACCATACGGTCTCTATAGCAACCATTCAACTCTACCATTGTAGCAGGAAAGCACCATAGATCCATGGATGTGCTCCAATAAAACTTTATTAAAACAGGCAGCTGGTCTGAGGTCCATGTATATATCTTGCTGTTTTCATACAATTTTCTAAGTTAGTAGTTTCCTGCCTTTTTAACAATCACGGATTACTTTTAATCCTCTCCTCTGATTTTATGTTTCAAAAGCCTTAAGAAAAACCCACAAAATATATTTATTTTGTAATTTTGGGGGTGGTTCTTATTTTATTAATAAGTAATCAATGATATATAAAGGCTACCCATTAGGTCAGTATGAAATAATCAACATTACTAACTCTAATGACTTAGTTCTGGATAGAAATAAAATATATTCAACTATATATACATAACTTAAAACCTGTATAGCTGTTTCTGGTGTAAATATATAACTTTTCGAGATTTTTTCAAGTATTAAATACAACTTTTGGGAATCCCCACACCTGGCTCCCTATGATGACGTTCAAGAATTCCTTAGGATTCTGGGAATCTTAGAATGAAAGTCACTGCTCTGTAGGAATGAATGAATGAATGAAAAAGAAAACGAAGGAAGAAGACAGAGCATGTCTACTAATTATAAATTAATCATCAATGAATGTTTATTTTATAAATAAATTTGTCAACTTTAGGTTGCCAAATCTAACAAGATACCAACATGGCATTCATGGTGATCACACCTCTAGTCAAATTTTATTTTAGTTCATTGACTATACTATTAATATCCTGAAATACTCAAAACTTCTGTCTCAATTCGGTGAATAATTCACTTATTAATCACCGTATACACTACTTAATGAATGGAATGGTGCTTGGAATAAAGATAATTACAGGGCTAAAAGGTTTTTCTCTGGAGGCAGGGCATAGAATTTTGTTGTCTGACTGGAATAAAACAAAATTAATCAATATTTTCTGCAACCAGTGGCTTTTGACTTAGTCGTCTATTAATATCTATCAATCACTATAATCTCAGTCCTATTTCCTCCATTTTTCTTTTTGCTATCATAAAAACTTGTCCATTTTTTTCCTGTTAGATCTATATGTTTCTCCTCTTTTCTTTTCATCCAAACAACTGGACATCAACTTAGTACACATAGTCCAATTTATCCGAACCTTACAGAACTCACTGTTTCCATTTACATAACTTACATAACTGTCAAGCTGAAATCACTCTCAAATTTTTTTAATTCAAAATTTTAATTTAATTTAATAATATTTATTTATTCATTAATTAATTTATTTTGAAAATAATTTTAACTTGTATTTTACATTCAGGGGTACATGTGCCAGTTTGTTACATGGGTATATCTCATAATGCTGAGTTTTGGGGTATGAATGATCCCATCATCCAGATGCTGATTTGGTATGATTTGACTCTGTGTCCCCACCCAAATCTCATGTTGAATTGTAATTCCCAATGTAGGGGGAATGACATGGTGGGAGGTGATTAGCTCATGAGGGCAGATTTCCCCCTTGTTGTTCTTAGATGGTAAGTGAGTTCTCATGACATCTGATGGTTTAAACATATGGCAAATCCCCCCTGGCTCACTTGCTCTCCTTCCGCCATGGTAGAACGTGCCTTGCTTCCCCCTTCACCATCTGCCATGATTATAAGTTTCCTGAAGCCTCCCAGCCATGCTTCCTGTACAGCCTGTGGAATTGTGAGTCAGTTAAACCTCTTTTCTTTATAAATTACCCAGTCTCAGGTAGTTCTCTACAGCAGTGTGAGAACAGATTAATACATGAGCATAATACCCAATAGGTAGTTTTTCAAACCTTGCCTTCCTCCTTCTCCCCTCTAGTAGTCCCGGTGTTTATTCTTTCCATCTTTATGTCCATGAGTACCCAGTGTTTAGCTCCCACTTATAAGTGGGATCATGTGGTATTTTGTTTTATGTTCCTGCATTAATTCACTTAGGATAATGGCCTCCGGCTGCATCCATGTTGTTTCAAAGGACATGATTTTGTTATTTTTATGGCTGCATAGTATTCCGTGGTGTATGAAATGGTTTGGAAGGTGGCCCCTATAAATCTCATGATGAAATGTAATCCTCAGTGTTGGAGGTGGGGCCTGGTAGGGTCATGGGGATGGATCTCTCATGGCCTGATGCCGTCCTTGTGATAGTGAATTCTTTCAAGATCTGGTTGTGTAAGGGTGTGTGGTACTTACCCCCACTCCCATTTTCTCTTGCTCCTCCTCGGACCATGTGATGTGCCTACTCCCTCTGTGCCTTCCATCATGAGTAAAAGCTCCCTGGGGCCTCCACAGGCGCCATGCAGATGCCATCACCATGCTTCCTGTACAGCCTGCAGAGATGTGAGCCAATTAAATCTCTTTTCCTTATAAATTACCCAGCCTCAGGTATTTCTTCATAGCAATGCAAGAATGGCCTAATCATACTGTGTAGATGTACCACATTTTATTGATCCAATCCACTGTCGATGGGCACCTAGGCTGACTCCATGTCTTTGCTATTGTGAATAGTGCTGCGATGAACATGCAAGTGCATATGTCTTTTTGGTAGAATAACTGATTCTCTTTGGGTTATATACCAGTAATGGAATTGTTGGCTTGAATGGTAATTCTATTTTAAATGCTTTGAGAAATTTCCAAACCGCTTTGAACAGTGGCTGAACTAATTTACATTTGCACCAATTATGTGTAAATGTTCCCCTTTCTCCACAGCCTCCCAAGATCTGTTGTTTTTCAATTTTTGAATAGTAGCTATTCTGACTGGTGTAGGATGGTATCTCGTTTTGGTTTTGATTTGCATTTCTCTGATGATTAGTGATGTTAAGACTAATCTTTGCCACCAAAAAACTAGGAAAATACAGTGTCACTTGTCAAAATAAATTGTTTTACTTTGCTTTAAAAATAATCAATTGAGTAGTATATTTCTTCCAGCAAAATTAAGAAGTAAACATTTAGAATTGTACAGTACCTTGCTGTTAAGTCTTCGCACAAGTATACCAATCGAACATAAAGGCCACCTTAAACTTTCATTTGAAATGAAAGACAATTTTTAAGAGGTTAAGGGCTAGTAATTTCTTAAAGTCCTGAAGTTAAATTAGCTCAAGTAAATGCAAAGACTTTCCTTTAATTAAAGACTTTTAAATGAACACTTTAAAGCATAGTTGGTTTCTCCCTCAAATCTTGTCCAAAGCCACTGTTTACAACTCAGCATATCAAAGAAGGCTTCAGACATGATTGTGAAGCTCCCTCAACTTACAGTGTGCTATTTGCAACCTTAGATGCTATCATTCTGGCTTTTCTAACTTTTAGCAACAATAAGCACACCCTTCTCATTTCTCCCCCACCCTGACTTACCCCTCTTTTCATTTAATATACAATTTTTCTCAGAGTGTTCTTACACATCTTTAACTGTAAATATGACAAAAGCACACAGTATAGTACATTTATCACATGTATAAATGCTGTATCTAGTCATACAATTTTCCTTTTAAAAAAGAAATATTTTATTTTCAAAAAGCAAAGACTCTAGGAATCTTTTCTAGCTGCCAGTCATAAAAACATAAATTCCTGGTTAGTTTCCCAAATTTGCCTGACCATAAGAACCACTTGTGATACTTGTCAAACACATGTATGCTGAGTCCCATCCATGATCTCCTGAATCAGAATCACCAGGTGAGAGGCCTGGGAATACACATTTTAAACAAATGTCCACAGTGATTATGATTAGTAAAGCTTGAAAAACATTTCACTAGGATCTTTATGACTGAATAACCTCACAAACATAGGAAAGTTACTGGAAAAAAATATGAGCAGAATTTCAGAATTCTGCCTTTGCTGAAAGTGTTTGTTCCCTCCTCCTCTACTCATCAAGACCTGACTGCTTATGCAACTCCCCCAAACCATCAATGGGAAGAGCTGAAAATGATTTTAATGAAGAAGAAAAGCTGATGTTTAATTTCAAAACTGACGGTTTGAATAGAAGGGAGAGGCATGAATTTATCTTGATTCTAACAGAAAGCATTGTATTTGGGTCTACAAACGAAATTGGTTTCATTTTTATTTTTTGTAAGTTTTCGCCAAACTCTGTGCATATATAGAGGCTGGGCAAGAAAGAAAGAAATCCAGAAATACGGCATATGCCATCCCTTATTTATTTCCCCATGCGACCAGCCAACAGCTTCTTCACCTAGTCCCTGCTTCAAGCTGACTTTCAGTCTACTTCTCTATCGGAAATGGAGCTTCCCCAAAGACTGCCTCAATGTCAGTTACCCAGAGGCCTTTTTTCCATCTTGGGCTCCTAAACTTCTATGATATTAAATGATACTACCCTTTCTGGAAATTCTCCTTAGCTTTGATTTCTATAATTTAACTCTGTTTCATTCCTTCTTTTATAGCCTTTCTTTTCTCTATCCCTTTACTGTAGACATATTGTACGACTTTGTTCTTGACCTTCTGATCTCTCCACATTCATTCCTTCAGAGCATGTATCCATTTTCTTGGTGTCAGGCTTCCTGACTATCTGATTATTACCATCATATAACGATGTTGGTGATGAGCATAGCTAACATATCCTAGGCATTTTCCATGTAGGTTATAATAAGCACCCTATATAACTCGTACCATTTAATTCTTCAACCCTAAATGATACTATTACTAACCACATTGTATGAGACGAGGAAACAGATTTTCATCAAAACCCTGGAAAGCCAACGTGAGGAGCCCCTGTGTGTCTCCTTTGTTAATGACTCCGGGCATCATGGCATGTGGATTGCCATGGAATGGGGATTAGGAAGCGCAGCACTGTGAAAACACCAGAAAATACGTTGATAGCGGTAAGGACGCTCATCTCTGCACATTGTGACGGTTTTGTTTCTGAGTCAGGTTTGAGATGAGCCAATCCTGACTCCATGGTGCCACCAGGGATCACGAATTTAATAAGATCTTCGTGGATGCTTGGAACCCAACTGGTCTCGGTTTTCTACTTTAGGGAAAGAGCCACAGCTTGAGTGGGGTGGTTTTGGTGTCACATACGCGATTAATAACACCCACCGCTGCAGAGGAATCACCGTGGACTACTCCTCCTTTCATCCCATGCTCTTGCGATGGATCCCTCTCACCTGTTTACTGATTTCATTCAAATTCTTCAGCGACCACAGGACCCCGACTTGCCTTCTCTATCCTGGTTCCCTCACTCTGCTTTACAGGCCTGGCCTGCTCGCTGCTCCTCACACCAGCGCTGCACGGCTCCCTCCACGCCTCCGCCCTGTTTCCTCCATCAGACAGGACTAGCTTCCTCCATCTCTGTCGGGCAAATGCCTGCCCAGCCTTCAAGACCCTCCTCAGATGCCGCCTCCACGATTAGGCTTCTTTCAGACCCCTGAGCCTGTAACACGGGCTACCATAACTCTCCACCTCAGCCCACATTCCCACAGCACTCGCGACGTCCGCGACCCTCAACATGGCGCTTCATTCTCTTTTAGGGTATTTCCTGCTTGTTTCCTGCACACACAGTCGCGCGAGGCGCAGTCCTGAGTGACCCACGCACGAGTGGCCCGCGCTTCCAGCCGCGCCGCCGCAGGCCAGCGAGGGCAGCCTGAGCCGCTTCCCGCCCCGGCGAGGACCGTCGCCAGCCCGCTGCTCTAGCAGGAGGCGGTTCCACAGCGCACCCGGCAGCCCAGCCACCGTCAGCACCGCGCCTCGGGCGGGCTTTTCTCCCTTCCGGGAGGCGCGAATCCTCAGGGGCTCCTTGAGAGGGCGCCAGGGAGCAGCTGCGCGCGGATGCCTTTTGGCCCTCTGCGGCCGCCGTAGCTCCCCGGCAGAAACCCGGAAGTGGAACTCTGAGCCATTCAGCGTTTGGGTGAAGACGGAGGCGGGTTCTACAGAGACGTAGGCTGTCAGGGAGTGTTTATTTCGCGTCCGCTTCTGTTTCTCCGCGCCCCTGTGCTGCCCCGACTCACATACTCGTCCAGAACCGGCCTCAGCCTCTCCGCGCAGAAGTTTCCCGGAGCCATGGCCGAGTACTCCTACGTGAAGTCTACCAAGCTCGTGCTCAAGGGAACCAAGACGAAGAGGTGGGTCCTGCAGCTTGGGCGGGAGCCTCCTCCGTTCTTTTCGGACGCACTCCACCCCCGCAACTCCGGTGGAAGCCGTGGCGCGGAGAGCCGGCTTTGTGGCCTCCCAGGCTTCGCCCTGGCCCCTGTCCGGGCTGGACGGAGGCCGGGCCGCGGTTCCCGGCGTCTGTGCAGAGAGGGGCAGCCTCCCGCGCGGACGACCCTGGAAACAGGATAGACGGGCAGGTGACCCGTGACCCCGTACCCACGAGTTTGGGTCCCCTGAGGCATCTCTCCAGGCCTCTGCCTGGGGGGTCTGCATTAGTCTGATCTCGTAGTTCATGATAATTTCCTTTATTAGGGATTATTATTTTCTCCATTGTCTCTTTTCTTTCTAGAAAACTTATTAATTTTTTCTAATCTAATATGTACAGTGAAACCAGGATGAATCACACAGTGGTTGAGGTGTATATGGGCTTTAGGGATATGGGCTCGAACCTGCACTCTTGTCATTTACTAGTTTTGTAATTTGTGGCAAATTGGTTAATATGTCTGAACTTCCATTTACTCATTAAGAGATCAAATATCTGAACCTCCGTTTACACATTTATACTTTCAGACGTTTTTTATACTTTTAGAAGACTGTGAGGATTAAATGAGAGAACATATATGCAGAAAATAAATTGAGCCAAATGTGAGGAGGAGGTCGTAATGGTAATTTATTAGCTTTTTAGGAAAAAATACCTGTGCACTCATATCCCCGCTTCTTTTTTAACTGGCAGATTTGCCCGAGGTACATACAAATGTCGAGTATTTCCTCCTGGTCTCCGTGATAAACAGAGGTTTTGATATTTTTAGGCGAGATAGAAAGTATCAAGGAGTGAGTTGAAGCCACTGGCCTTGAGAACCCTCTCGAGGAGTCTGGCCTCATGAAGATGCCAGAATAAATGGCAGGTTTATCCTGAATGAATGTGAGATTTTTACTCTGTGAATTTCCTGGGAGGAGAGGAGAGTTATCTTCTGAAAACTTTATAATGAAAATGCAGACACGGGTGTCTTAAGATCATCGTAATAATCATAATTAATGCTCATATAGCACTGTCAATGTGCCAAGAAATTGTTGTAGGCACTTTGCACATTAACTTTTTTTCAAATCACTCTTGGTTTTTTATTTTTTTATTGAGATATAATTCATAATTATAAAATTCACCCTTTTGTACAGTCAGGGGTTTTTAGTATATATTCAAGAGGTTCACCACTGTCTAGTTGCTCAGCATTTTCATCATCTCAGAAGGAAATCTCCCCCTACCCATTAAAGCAGTCACATCCCATCCTCCCCCTCTCCTAGTCCTTGGCAACCACTAATCCGCTCTCTATGTGAAATCGCCTATTCTGAATATTTCCTAAGAAATCATGCAACATGTGGCCTTTTGTATCTGGCTCCTTTCACTTATAACATTATTGAGGTTCATCATTGTTGTAGCGCCTGTTCCTTTTTATGGCTGCATAGTATTCCATTGTATGGATGTATCATTTTGTTCATCCATTCATCAACTGATGAACATTTGGGTTGTTTCCCCTTTTTGGCTATTGTGACTAATGCTAGTGTGAATATTCTTATGTAAGTATTTTTGTGGGTGTATGTTTTCATTTCCCTTGGGTATACATACTTAGGAGTAAAATTGCTGGGTCATGTGGTAACTTTAACTTTTTGAGGAACCCCAAACTGTTTCCTGTAGATGCTGCACCATTTTACATTTCCACCAGGAATGTGTGAAGGTACATATTACCTCTTAATCCTCACAATAGCCTTAAGAGTTAGGTTAAGTTACTATCCTAATTTTTTAAGTGGGGAAACTGACTCAGAGAGATTCAGTACCTTTTCCAAAAATCACGGAGCTAAGAAGTGAAAGAATCAGGATTTAAAATCTGGCAGTGTGGCTCTACAATCTGCTTTGAACTCTAACGTAATATGTGCAAAGCCTGAAGCAACTTCTCAGTACTGTATTTAAGAGGGCATATCAATGTAAGTCTTCCTAAATCAATAATTTATAAATGAAACAGCTTAAAAGACTTTCAAGTTTCAATCTTACAATATTTATCGTACAAATCAATATACCTAAACTCGTCTATATAAATTATGTCCTGTAGTAAGAAGAAAAAGAGCAAAGATAAGAAAAGAAAAAGAGAAGAAGATGAAGAAACCCAGCTTGATATTGTTGGTGAGTCAGTTTTCAGTGCTCTATTCTGAAAAAAGTTAATGTTTCTTGAGATCTCCTTGAAAGTGTTTTCCTAGTTAGAAATTTATGATGTATTCATATTTGTCTTAAAGTGCTTAAATATTACCTACAGTTATAAATTCCATTTATTCTTTAACACAGTAGATGCTACTGATGCCTTTACTTCATTATCAGGAGAGAAAAATTATAACTCTCTGACTTAGTAGGCACCATTAGACTGCTTAATAGCCAGAGATTCTAATACATAATTTTAAAGGCCTAATGTAAATGTTATTCAACCAAATATCTTTTACAAGTTATTTTCTTTGCACATGTATGCATTTTAATTGTAGAAGTCGGTTGTCTCTTAAAGGAAGTATCTTCACAGGAAAAATCATTATTTTGTGAACTCTGAAATGAATGAAAATTTTAAATACAACATCAGGGTAGCCTGTAAATGATACTAGAAATAAACTGACCTAAACACACTTAACCAGCCTGTTTTCCGTTTAGTTCTTTTCCATACATATTTTTTTCTCTTTTAAAACTTGGCAAGTTGCATTTTGAATCTTCATAAATTATGGTAACTTAATATATAAAATATGGAATGGTATAAAGCTAATGTTCTGGAAGAATCATTGCTTTCAAAATGGCAAATCAACAATTCTAAAATTAGGGTAAATATCTAGGGTAGATATGTAGATGTGGAATTGCTGTGTCAAAGGATAGGTGAATGTTTAACTATATAAGAAAATGCCAAAAGTTTTCTAAAGTGGTTGTGCCATTTTACCCTCCTACCAAGAATGAATTAGTGCTCCAGTTACATCCTTGCCAAGAGTTGATGGTGTTATCAGTCTTTTCTCCCAGTCTGAGTTTTACCTTTTCAGTTTCTTAATGGTGGTTTTTGGATGAGCAGCTTTTTTTTGAGACAAATTCTCACTCTGTCTCCCAAGCTGGAATGCAGTGATGCGATCTCGGTTCACTGCAAGCTCCACCTCCCGGGTTCATGCCATTCTGCTGCCTCAGCCTCCCGAGTAGCTGGGAGTGCAGGTGCCTGCCACCACACCCGGCTAATTTTTTGTGTTTTTAGTAGCAACAGGGTTTCACCATGTTAGCCAGGATGGTCAGAAGCTTTTAATTTTTATAAAGCTCAGTTTATTTTTTTTTTCTTTTATGGTTACTGTCTTATGTCTTTGATCTAAGAGATCTTTGCTTACCCCAAAGTCAGGAAAATATTCTACATTGTCTTTTAGAGGCATCATAGTTTTAGTTTTTACATTAAATCTGTCATTCATCTCAAATTAAATTTTGGCATGATGTTGTGAGTTCGGTTTCAAGATTTACTTTTTTTTTTTAAACATCTTGATAGCCAGTTGTGCCAGCACCACTGGTGTTTCCTTTTTCCATTAATCCACTTTGGTATCTTCATAAAAAATCAATTAACTTTCTATGTATTGGTCTGTTTCTGGACTCTGTTCTATCGATACGTTTGTCTGTTTTTCTGTTGGTATATTTCTCTTGATTGCTATAATTTCATGAAGTCTTGAGATCAGGTAGTGTGAGTCCTCCGACTTTGTACTTATTAACTGTTAATTTATTAATTTCTGCAGTGAAGTTTGTTGGATTTTCTCGAGAACTGTATTGAGTCCAGATCATTTGGGGGAGATCAACATCTTAATATTGGGCCTCAATATTTCATAATTTTCAATGTAGCCATCTTGCATGCCTGTTTAAACATTTATTCTTAAGTATTTTATAATTTTACATTACTGTCAATAGAACCTTTGAATTTGATTTTCCAGTTGTTTGCTGTCAGTATGTAGATATACAATTGATTTTTGTATAGTGACTTTGTAGTCTAAGTCTGTTTCACTTATTACTTCTAGTGGTTTGCTTATATAGAAAACTAAGAAATTTGCAATTATGTTTCCTGTGACTATCGTTTTACTTCTTTCTTTCTAATCCTTTTGTCTTGTCTTTCTTTTTATTGGTTTATTATACTGTCCAGGACTTCTATAGCATTGAACAGAAGTCATGAGAATGGGCATAATTGCATTGCTCTCAAGCTTAGGCAGAAAGCTTTCAGTAGTCCACCATATGGTATGACGTCTGTAGGATCTGCAGAGAAAACTTTTATCAAAATGAGGACATTCCTTTTAAAACTTTGTTTCTTGGGAGTTTTTATCATAACGATGTTTAATGCTGTCAGATGCCTCTTTCTGTATCTGTTGAGATGATTATACAGCTTTCTTCATTCTGCCAGTGGATTATATTGGTTTCATTTTCAACTTTTAAACTAACTTTACATCCCTGAGATAAACCCCACTTGGTTGTGGTGCGTTGTCCTTTGGGATATTGCTAGATTTGATTTCTAGGTGTTTGTGTTTTTTGTTTTTTTTTAAGATTTCTATATTGGTGTTGATGGGAGATATTGGACTTTTGTATCCTTTTCTTGTAATGTCTTTTTTTGATTTTGGTGTCAAGGTGATACTGGGTGTCACAAAATTAGATGGAAAGTGCTGTCTCCTTTCCTATTTTTGGAAATAGCTGTGTAGAGATGGGTATGAGTTGTTCTTTACATGTTTGATAGAATTCACCAGTGAAGTCAGCTGAACCCGGAGGGTTTTGTTTGGTTTGGTTTTAGTTTTTTGTGGGAAAATTAAAATTTTTTAAGAGATATTTTCAGATTTTTCTGTTGTGTCAGTTTTGGCAATTTGTGTCTTTTAAGAAAATTTCATCTAAGTTGTTGGATTTATTGGCATAGAATTGTTCAGAATATTCCTTTAATATGCTTTTAATGTCCGTAGAATCTCATCTGTATTGCAGTCTCTTCATATTGGTAATTTGTGTTTTTGCTATGTTTTCCTGGATCAGTCAGTCTAGCTGGAGGTTTCTCAATTCTTTACAAGATCATTTATTTTAGATCGTTAATGATCGTTTAGTACAGGTGTATTCAATCTTTTAGCTTCCCTGGGCCACAATGAAAGGAGAGGAATTGTCTTGGGCCACACATAAAATACACTAACGATAAGCTGATAAGCCAAAAAAAAAAAAAAAGCAAAAAAATCTCATAATATTTCAAGAAAGTTTATGAATTTGTGTTGGGCTGCATTCACAGCTGGCCTGGGCCACATGTGGCCCTCAGGTTGGACAAGCCTGTTTCAATATTACTTATTTTCTCTTTTTTTCATTTTCTATTTCATTTATTTTCAGTCTTTTATTTTTTTCCTCCCTTTAACTTATTTTCAGTTTACTTTGCTCTTGTTTTATTGCTTCTTAGGAAGGGAGTTAGATCTCTTCATTCCACTTTAGTTTCAGTTATAGTCAACACATTTTGTTTTCATTTTCATTCCATTCAAAATATCATCTAGTTTTCCTTGTGATTTTTCTTTTCATGGACACGTGAGTTATTTAAAAGTATATTGTTTTTAATTTCTACTACATAGAGATATTATAGGTATGTTATTGTTGCTGATTTCTAATTCATTTATAGTATAGTTGGAGAACATACTTTCTTAGTGAATTTCCATGTAGACTTGAATGTGTATTCTGCAGATGTTGGTTCAGGGTTTTTTGTTTGTTTGTTTGTTTGTTTTTTTGGAGATGGAGTCTCGCTGTTGCCCAACAGGCTGGAGTGCAGTGGTGCAATCTCGGCTCACTGCAACCTCCGCCTCCCAGGTTCAAGTGAATCTCCTGCCTCAGCCTCCGGAGTAACTGGAATTACAGGCACCTGCCACCACACCCGGCTAATTTTTTAAATATTTTTAGTAGAGACAGGGTTTCACCACGTTGACCAAGCTGGTCTCAAACTCCTGACCTCAGGTGATCCTCCCGCCTCGGCGGGATCCAGGCGTGAGCCGCGGTGCCCGGCCAGTTCAGTGTTCTTTAGATGTCTGTTAGATCAACTGGTAGAGCTTGTGACTATGCATATCTTCTGTGTCCTTACTGATTTTTTACTAATGCTACAGTGTATTGATAGTTATGTTAAAATCTCCAGCGGTAATTCTAGATCTGTCTACTTGAGCAGTTTTTGCTTAAAGTATTTTGAAGCCGTCATGTGTACACATTTAGGATTGTTAAGTCTTCCTTATAAATTCAGTCTTTCATTTTCATAACATTTTAACCTTATTTCTGTTAAATGTCTTGATGCCTAGTCAAATTATTTGACCACCCTTTTGCTCCTGTCAAGCCTGGGCCTTTGTTAGTTTGTGCTTATTTATTAGGGTTTTGCTCGTAGACTTAGACAGTGACTCTTAGTCTAGGAAAGGTTCATCCTCATGGGCCTCAGCCACATGTTCTAGGTATACTTAGTGAGTTCTCTCCACTCTGCTGTGTCCCAAATTTGTGTGATCTCTGGCATCTCCAGTCAGCCCTCAGAAGTGCCAGCCACTCTGCAGAGGCCTTGTGGAGCCTGCCTGCTGCATGCACTCCCCCCAGCCCTTGGCCACAGACCTGCAGAGAACTTTTGCGTACTCTTTTGAGGCCTCACCTGTATGTAGTTCCCTCTTCTCCAGTACCTTATTCTATAAACTCCCAACATGTTAGCACTGTAAGACTCTCAGCTTAGTGACAGTGACATTGCCTCATTTCTGGAGGTCTCTACCTCTCTCCGTGTGGTCAAGAAACTGCCATTGGGCAGAAAACACAAGTGTGTATGAGATTTGCCTCCAGTGTTTTCCTGTTCTCAAATATCACAGTCCTGTTCTGCCTGTGTTCCAATCTCTGAAAACAGTTTTCTCAAATATTCTATCCAGTTTCAGTTTTCTCGTTGGTCATGGTGGGAGGGCAAGTCCATCTTGGCTGGAAGAGGAAGTCCTTCTGCGTCTTTTTCTCTTTGTCCTTCCACATGGTTTTGCATTGTGGATTTTCTAAACTTGCCGTATAAGTAAGCATGTGCCTATTTGTGAAGGGAAAGAAAAAAAACCTTTTAATTTTTTAAAGCTGTTCTGTTGGTTCCTCACAAGGATCTGAAGGGATTGGTAAATAGGATGAAAGAAATTCTGTCTTTCACATGGAGAAAACCAAGTGTGACATTAATAAAAACGAGCATGTCTGTAGGCAAAGAGTTTCACTGAGCTCTGCTAGATTCAGAAGCAGTTGGACTTACAACATCGTACTTTGCAAAACACATATATTTTATTTACCCAGGAACTAAAGCTAAGTCAGCTGTGGATTAATAGAAGGTCTGTGAAGGGTACTTAGACTACAGTAAGATTGGGGAAGAAAATTCCATTTCCAAATCTAAGATATATCATTCCTTTGTGCCAAGCACATAATGATAGTAGAGATTTAAGGGGGCCCTTAGCACGGAAGCACTGGGTTAGTCAGAAGGTGAGGTGAGCTGTCACACAGCCTTGATGCTAGAATGAGGGTGCCCTGGTACTATCTTATCAGCCATGACACTGGTGCATTGGGCCATTTTTTTGTTTTGTTTTTTTTGAGACAGGCTCTTGCTTTGTTGCTCAGGCTGGAGTGCAGTGACATGATCGTGGCTCAGTGCACCCTCGACCTCGTAGGCTCAAGCAATCCTCTCACCTCCGACTCCCGAGTAGCTGGGACCACAGGCTCGTACCACCACACCCAGCTAATTTCTTAATTTTTTTGTAGAGATGGGGGTCTCCTTTTGTTGCCTAGGCTGATTTTGAACTCCTGGGCTAAAGTGATTCTCCTGCTTCCACCTCTCAAAGTGCTGGATTACAGGCATGCCAGACATATGTAAACATTCTAAACTATGTGACAATATGTGTAAAGCTTTCTCATGCATTGTGAGACAACACAGCAGGAATATTTCACCATCTGCCTAAGGTTTAAAAGGAAATAACTTTAAGCATGTGTCTAAATAGCAAGTAATGTTTTAGAGCGGATTCTCTTAAATTCAGCTTGGGCATCTGCACCATATACACAGCTTGAGCTGTCACCTGACGTAGAGACAGGCAACTTCAGTGCCCGTGTTCATAGGATCCACTGCTTTCTCACAGCTAAAACCCCAGAGTGGCACCATTAAGTATTATGTTATGTTACTTTAGTCGATAAACATATAAGCATACCTCCAAAGGTTGAATGTAGGCCACTTGCAGAAAGTAGGCAGAATGCTCACATTTAATTCTTGATGATACTGTGTTTATATTTCTTATTCTTTGAAATTGCATTGAGAAAAAATACTGGCATCTGCTCAAAGTAATTTCTTTTTCAGTTGACAATATTAAAGTAACGTTATTGTATCATTTCCCTACTTGGACAGAGTGTGAAAATTTTAAGGAGCTTGTCTGCCAGAAATTTCTTCTTCATTTGCAAAACATTAATGAGTTATTATATTTAAATGATTTTATTTAATATTAAGTGTACTTGGTCAATGTGGCATAGAACATACAAAATAAATCTAATTTAAAATCATTAACTATTATATTTATAAGAAAGACTTGCTAATCATAACACTGTTGATAATGATTCTGAATAAAGCATTATTTCTTTTCCTGAAAACAATTGTAGCTATAATTCAATCATCTAAATTGCTTATTAGTTTTATTTCTTTTTAATTGTCTTTAGCTGAAATTTTAATTTTGATTAATTTTCTTTTTCTCCATTGGTTTTGTGTGTGTGTGGAGGTAAAATATACAGAATATAGAATTTGCCAGTTTTTCTATTTTTACGTGTATGCTTCAGTGGCATTTAAATACATGCACCATTTTACCTTCCCACCAGCATTGCACAGGGTTTCCGTTTCTCCACATCCTGCCCAACATTTGTTTTTCTGGCTTTCTTGGTTTCTGTTTTTTGTTTGTTTGTTTGTTTTGATAATAGCTATTCTAATGGGTGTGAAGTGGTATTGCATTATGGTTTTGATTTATATTTCCCTAGTGACTAGTGATGTTGAGCGTCTTTTCAAGTGCTTATTGGCCATTTGTATATCATCTTTGGAGCAATGTCCGTGTATATCCTTTGCCCAGTTTTGAATTGTGGTATTTGTCTTTTTGGAGTTCTCTATATAGTCTGGATATTAATTCCTTATAATGTATGTAGTTTACAAATATTTTCTCCATTCCCTGGGTTGCCTTTTACTCTGTTGATGGCGGTTCTTGATGCACAAAAGTTTTTAATTCTGATGAAGTCCAGTTTGTCCACGTTTTCTTTTGTTGCCTGTGCCTTTGATGTTCTACATAAGAAATCATTGCCAAATTCATGTCGTGAAGCTTTTCCCATTTTCTTCTAAAAGTTTTCTAACTTTAGCTCTTACATTTAGGTCTTTGGTCTGTTTTAAGTTACTTTTTGTATTTGGCATTAGATAAGGGTCCAACTTCATTTTAGCTAAAATTTTATGTATTTTAAAATTTATTATGGAAAGCATGAAATGTTTAGTTGAATAGAAAATTTTGTGCAGTGGAATTAACTGAATCTTTAAAACCTTTTTATTATGGAAATATCCAAACTATTCCATACATAGAAGAATATAATGAGTCCCCCATGTGCCCAGGCCCCAGCATTAATTATCAATATTTTGCCAATCTCATTTCATTTACACACATGCCCCCACACACATTTTTTCTTAGAAAATTTTAAGTAAAATCACAGATGTTATGTCATTTTACCCATGAGTACATAAACGTACATTTCTTAACGTGGTATGTCTTTCTGTCATCACCTGTTTTGTTCTTTATTTTTATATATTATACTATGTCATTATCAGACCTTGTAAAATTAACAAGAATTCCTTAATATGTCATATCCAGTTAATGATTGACTCATTTCTACTCTAGCTAAAGTACAATTTAGGAGGAGGTTTGAGGATATTTTTTAACATTAAGATATAAACTTTTATAACAACGGCTTAAATAATTGTTCCTAGAGTCTAATATTTCTATTGGCAAATTGGAAATTAGTATACATAGACATAGATTCTGCTCATTTTACTTTCAATCTAAAATCATAGTTAAGATTACTGGCCAGGCGCGGTGGCTCACACCTGTAATCCCAGCACTTTGGGAGGCAGAGGCGGGTGGATCACGAGGTCGGGAGTTTGAGACCAGCCTGGCCAATGTGGTGAAACCCCGTGTCTACTAAAAATACAAAAAAAATTATTCAGGCATGGTGATAGGCGCCTGTAACCCCAGCTACTCGGGAAGCTGAGGCAGAGAATTGTTTGAACCCGGGAGGCAGAGGTCGCAGTGAGCCGAGATCGCATCACTGCACTCCAGCCTGGGCGACAGAGCGAGTCTCCGTCTCAAAAAAAAAAAAAAAAAGATTGCTATGCTAGAAAGTCTTCCTGTAGAGGCATTTTTAAGAAACATTATGATAGGCATTGGCTCTGGAAAGCAGGCATGAAATAGATGACTGGGGTCTATCATGAGAGAGACCATTCTCTATATGTCACTTTGTACCTTCACATGTTGCCTCTTGTTTTGTTTTGGTCTTTTTTTGAGACAGGACCTTGCTCTGTCACTCAGGCTAGAGTGCAGTGGCATGATCATAGCTCACTATAACGTTGAACTCTGGGCTCAAGTGATCCTCTTTCCCCAGCTCCCCGAGTAGCTGAGATTACAGGCATGCACCCCCATGCCTGGCTGTATGTTGCTATTTTATGTTTTAAAAACCTAATCCTGACTGTGCTGGTAGTCGCATGAATCTCTGCACATACATGCAAACAAGTACATGTAAAACTGGTGAAATCTGAATAAGCTTCATGGATTATATCAATTTCAGTTTCCTGATTCTGACAGTGTATGATACTTATGCAAGATTTAATCGAGACAAAGTGAGTAAAGAATATGTGAGATCTTTGTATTATTTCTTACAACTGCAAAATAAGAAGTTTTTAAAATTAAGTTATAATAACAAAAAAAAGAACTCTGTGTCAAAACTAAAATATAAAGTTGAAATATTGATTTTATTTTTTAGGAATCTGGTGGACAGTAACAAACTTTGGTGAAATTTCAGGAACCATAGCCATTGAAATGGATAAGGGAACCTATATACATGCACTCGACAATGGTCTTTTTACCCTGGGAGCTCCACACAAAGAAGGTTTGTGTCTGGAAGGGAAGAGGCTGCCACAAGTGTAGATTTTAGGACATTCATTCACTTAGGCCAAACTCTAACTAGTCTCAAACATTTTCCAAAGGAATGGAACCATTGCATTTGACTCTTCCATTTTTTTTTAATTCCTTAATATTTACCAGCCATTGGCAAGTCCCTCTTTCTAATATAAGCATTTGAAAACATTCCGTATAGTTCCAGAAGAGTATCTTTGGAAATCAAAATAACATGAATAATTAAAATAGTAAGTGGAAAGAAAAAAGAAAACCTATTTGAGTCAAAATGTTTGAATTTCTTTTTTATTCAGACCTATTGCCAAAACTAACCTGGGTGCGTTTAACAGTTTGAAGTTTCCTCATTTTCTTTAGCCCATTAGAGGAAGCACTAATGAGATATGAAGTAATTAGAAGATAAAAAGCAGTATCATTTGGTCAGCAAGGCCATCCCTTGAATAAGTGAAAGCATTTAGCTTTTTAAATAAGTGCTTATTTATGACTGTATTTTAAAACATAAAGAGAAGCTATCTCAAAAGTTATTAAATAAGCATTATATCACCCTGTCTTACTCAGTGTATAAAATTAACACTGTAGTTAAAAGAAGGTAAAATAGATCTTGATTCCAAAGATACAGTATTACAGTGACATCAGTATATCTGAATATTCTTACATTTAATTGCAGAAGAAAATAGCCACATTTTTTAAAACAAAATAATGTCTTTATATTTATAGCAAATGTCAAATTTATTTTCAAATGTTTTTTCTCCAATAGTTGATGAGGGCCCTAGTCCTCCAGAGCAGTTTACGGCTGTCAAATTATCTGATTCCAGGTGAGCTTATGTTGTAATATAATTAGTAACCAGTTATTTTAAAAATTTAATTGTATTCATTAAAAATTTTAGTATCTGTCTTAAGCCCACAGGGTAATTTTGATGTAAAAAACAAAATAGCTTTTTTGAAAAGTAGATTTTGTGATCTACTTTTAATGGATTTCCTATCAATATATAATGCTAGGCTGGAAAAAAAATAAGTTAAAAAGTGAAGATTAATAATTTCACATACCGAATAAGATAGATTAAAAAATGAATCAAATAGTACAAAACCTGGTTCACTGTTGCTGTGATATTTAAACTCACTGTTTGGAAGTCCAAAGGCAAACAGGAAGACTAAAAAAAGGAATATTGTTGAAACCAGCAGAGAATGTTACAGAATCATAACGACCAAAAGAATATTTTTACTCACTATTTTTACAGTCATTTTATAAAGTAACCTTTTTTATTCTCACCTTGTGCAAAAGTATAGAACGATTCTTTGGGCAGAAGATACTGAAAGTGAATTTACATATTTTAGTAATTGGTTACATCAATATGATAATGATTTCTGTTATATAATCATTAATGTATAAAGGAGTAAAAGTCAATTCTGGCATCCCAGGAGATTCTCGGTAAGGTAAAAGATTAGAAATCATAATTTTAAAAAATCACATTAAGATGATTATTTCTGTACTTTCTTTGAAAGTCTGATAAGTATGGTGAAAGACAGAATAAAAGCAGAGGAAGAAAAAATTCAATAGTTTTAAACTGCTTTACAATTATAAACAAAAAAGGATTATAAAGAAAATTAACTGACAAATGAGGAAAATATTTGCAACAATCTTAATAGGCAGTGAGTTCTTACTCTTCATATGTATCTTGTATAGAATTCATAGCACTGATGACCCCAGTAGAAAAACTGCGAACAATCAGATCTCAATAGAAAAATGGACAAGGGACATTACCAGATAATCTAAAAACTAAAAAGGAAAGGAAAAGAAAAACAATTGTTATTCTAGTTAACTACTAAAATGCAAATTTATAGGATACTGTTTTTTCCATATCAGGTTTTCAAGTATTTTTTTAAAGTCATAATGTTTAAAAAAAAATGCGTGATACAAAACATACTCTGTTAATTTGAGGTAAGAATGTAAATGGAAGCAGCATTTTCTGGAAAACAGTTTGATGACATAAGAACTTTATACTCTTCGATCCAGTTATTTCTAGGAATTTTTTCTAAGGATAAAGCAGTTTTATGTACAGAATAGATGTACATAGAACTATTTATAATAAGAGAAAAAGTAAGTTTTAGTAATTTATTCTTGAACTTTATAACTAAAGAGGTATAATTGAAGAATGATGAATTTCAAAAATATTTGTTATGTAATATATAAGGTACAATGTTTATATTAAAAAAGCACAATATAAAACTAAATTTAAAACTGCACTGTCCAACATGGCAGCAACTAGTCACATGTAGCTTTTTTCTTTTTTTTTTTTTTAAAGGCACAGAGTCTCACTCTGTCACCCAGGCTGGAGTGCAGTGGTGTGACCGTATCTCACTATAACCTCAAATTTCTGGGCTCAAGCAATCCTCCTGCGTCAGCCTCCCAAGTAGCTGGTATCACATGTGCATGCCGCCATGCCCAGCTAACTTTTTAAATTTTTTGTAGAGATGGGGTCTCACTGTGTTGTCCAGGCTGATCTTGAACTTCTTGCCTCAAGCAATTCTCCCGTTGGCTTCCCAAAGCACAGAGATTACAGGAGTGAGTCACCACTCAGCCACATGCAGCTTTTGAAGACTTGGAATATGTGCAGTCTGAAATTTTAGATATGTACACAGCCACACACATACGCATGTCCTGTTTTGATGTCCTATAATTAATTTTCTCTCAGTCTTTAACTTTTATCTATGTTATTAATGTACAGAATCGCCCTGAAGTCTGGCTATGGAAAATATCTTGGTATAAATTCAGATGGACTTGTTGTTGGGCGTTCAGATGCAATTGGACCAAGAGAACAATGGGAACCAGTCTTTCAAAATGTAAGTGCTGTTATTGTTTATAAAAACTTCCTGTCAGTTTAACAGAAAGTCTGTTAACAGTCAATCATAATATATTTAAAAAGAAAAAGTAGGATGCAATAGTGTAATACATTAAATAGGAATAAATCAATAAGAACATAGAGCCTTAAAGAGATCTCAAAATATAGTGCAACAAAAATCGCATTAGTCCTTTTGCCCACAATTATTTCTGTATACCCTTAGTGCCTAGATATGGATCTCATTTCCATTGAAGAACCAGTCAATTTTAGGTCTCAGAGTAGGAAAACAGAGTAGTTCCTAAGTATCTTTGTAGCAGAAATCATGGATGCTTTCAGAAACATTAGAGACTGTAAGCGAACAGTGGAGCTTGCTAAGACCAAGTTGTGACAATTTGTGCATAAAATAAATAATAATAGTTCATTGAAGTAAATTATCTCTAAAAGACTTTCAGTTCATAAGCTTAAAATAGCATACGAAAAGATAGTTTTAATATAAGAAGAAAAAAGATAATATACTAATTCTTAATTTTAGTAAGTAGACAGTTGTATATGGATGTTTTGTTAAATCTTTGTTGACACAGAATACATAATTTCCTTTTTCTGTTTGTGTGAGAAGTAAAGATTGAACAAAAATATGTGAGTGCTAAACAGTCTTTAAAAAGTAGATAACTTTATCAAAAACAGTAAGGACCAATGGGCACCACGCAGAGCAAGCAAATAGAAGATAAGCTTAGCCTTTGAGTAGCAGCTTTGGTAGTATACACTAATGAATTGAAAATAGGAACTCAGCAGTGTTTTCTAAGATGACAGATTAAACAAACATCCCTCCAGAAAGAGGTAATCACTTAGACTAATTTCCTCATCCCCTAGGATAAAATCTTAACTCAGTGACTTGAAAACTATTTTGGCCCAACCCATTGAGAAATGCATTTTTACATTGCAGCCCAGCACACATGTATAACTGAAGCAAGAGTTGTACTTAACAATACTTACTTATCCATGTGTTATGCACCTTGATATTTCTTATTCTCTTTTACCCCTTCCTCTGTGAGTCTGTGTGTATTCCTTCCCCCGCCCCCCATACCGTACAGGAAACAACACTACATTGATTTCATGACCCGCTAATGTGTTGCAACCCCTTTGAGATGATCCTACTAGTTAGGATGAGATACTTCTAATAAAAGTTACACCGGTAGAAAAGGCCAATATATCATAAGGCCTTAGATGATGACTTAGATAGTACTAATAATACAACACTTTAGGAAAGTTCGTTTCATTTTATTTTTAGGAAGGACACTAAGTTTCAAAAATTTAAATTTAAATGAAAGAGGGTCTTAAAACTATTGCAAAAGGGACTCAGCTGAATAATCTGTGGCACAGGTTTAAATCGTCTTGGACCACACCACCATGTTCCAGGGCTCACCAGGAGCCATCCAGATGAGAGACCACCCAGCCCTTGTGACCTTGACTAAGAAATTAAATCCATGTTATCAGCACTTTTTTAACTTGATGTGATATAAGGTTAACATATTTTGTAATCATTGTATTTATAAATATTTTGTCTAAATGTTATGGTATTCCAAGTTTTCCAAAAGAATCAACCAAATACAAGTTATAAATAAACATTATATTTGTTAAGGGAGTTAAGCTAACCAAATTTATAACCCAGATTTAGATACACAAGAAAATCAGTCTTTAAAGTTTTAATAGAAAGCAGTGTAATATATCAAACATTAAACAACTAAAAAAGTATATGAATATTTATTTTCACACACAAAAGTCCCTCAGACATTGATTCTTAAATTCAAAACACCAAAGCATTGTATGTACCTTTTCATGTTTTCTAATTGTGAAGAAAATAAATTTTACTTAAAATGCTAATATTTGAATAAAGTATGCATTCATAATTATGTTCTTGTCTTTAAAGTTAATTTTTCAAACTGAACTAAATCAGTTATGTCTTCAGTAGATCTTTTAGAAAGGAAGCAATCCTACCTCATCTACTTAGAATTTAGTCCTACTAGGAAGATACACTACAAATGTTTATTGTGGTAATCTTTGAATAGTAAAATGATAGGTGATTTTGGTTTCTTTTCTATATGTTCTTGTATTATATTTTTCAGGTTTTTCTCTAAGTTCTTTTCTGTGATTTTTAAATCAGGGAGGAAAAATTAATTCAGTCTAAACACTTAATGTTTCTCCCACAAGAAGTATCCTCATGGCTATTTTGTTATTTGTTTCACTTAGGGGAAAATGGCTTTGTTGGCCTCAAATAGCTGCTTTATTAGATGCAATGAAGCAGGGGACATAGAAGCAAAAAGTAAAACAGCAGGAGAAGAAGAAATGATCAAGGTAATGATGACATTTTATACAGATGACTGCATTCACACATGCGATGTGACTGTATCTCTTTAAAATGTTAAATGGTCATTTACTGTCACTTTAAAGATTTACTTAATAGCTTTTTATAATGTGGTGTTTCAAATAGACTCATTTTTAATTATAAATCCCATAGTTGATGTCTTGTTTATACAATGTGGTAGAGAAATGAGTGCATCTAGGAGCTACCTTGCCATTATCTCCATGGATTAGTATCTTCTTCTGGTAGTTCCACATGCTCTTTTTAAGCTTTCATTTTCTTGTTTTCTTGCTTGTATTTTAAAATCTAATTTTTAAAATAGATAACATGTACACGTGGTCCAACATTTTCAAATAAAAGCATGTGAAGACGTATGCCTGCCATGCGTCTTACTCACCTGTGTCCCAGCACCTGTTCGTCTTTCCCTTTGTTTTTTTATAGCCTCCTAAAATTTCTTTATAAACATATGAATATGTTTATAATTTTCAACTGTTTTACGCTAAAGGTAGCCTCCTCTATAGTCTAGACTTCAATTTTTTTTTTTCCTTAAAATTGTATCTTGGAGAGTTTTCTACTATGAGTTTGAATGTAGAAAGTTTTCTCTTTTTCTTGCTTTTCCTCTCTTTCTCTCTCTCTCAACAGCCACATAATATTCCATTTCAGGGATGTACCTTAATTTATTTAGTCTTTTATAGATGGAAATTTAGGCTGTTTCCAGTCTTTTGCTCTTATAAACAGTGCTGCAGTACATAACATTGAATATGCATCAGTTTGTAGATGTGCGGGTGGACCTGAAGGTAAATTTCCAGAAGCAGAATTACCAGGTCGGGGTATATGCGTTTGTATTTACGTAATGCTTGAGCTTCTGTGATGATAATCACTCTATGAAACATAAAAAATCATAGCAGAACTTCTGGGGCCTTAGCCCTCAGATTTTAAAAATATTTTTATTAATAGTACCCGTCTTCTTTGCATTAGGAGAAACATGAATCACATAAAACATGATTTTTATTTTATTTTTAAAATTTGTGTGCGTCACTAAGCTGGAAATAAAAGTTCCTTATTCCAGGCTAAATTCCCTCATCCGTAGTCAGACGCGTTATCCATTGCACCAGTGGCCTGTGCCCTCTCTAATCCTACTCTTTGTTTTACATCATTGTAAAAGTTACACAGACATCTTCATATCAAGGTGAAATTCTAAATAATACTGTTAATATAACCTAGATAAATCAAGTAGTTAATTGGAATCTGATGAAAACATTTAAGGCTTAATTTTTTAGACTCACAGAAGCCACTGATCTTTAATGATAAACATATACCAGGATGTGTCTAAAGAATAACTCCCCACTTCTTGACACATGGCTTTTCTGTGTCTTGGCATTCCATCTCAGTACTGAGCATCCTGAACCTTGCTTTGTTTGTCTCTGTTGGGAATCACAGGTTGCATCCAGTCTGACCCAGATTTCCTCTGTAAGGCATTGTGGGGGCCAGAGTGGAAGGCTCTAAGAGAGGGGGCAAGTGCCTTTTCTAAAATGCCCTTCGTTCTTATAATTAGAGCATAAAAATTTATGTTACATTTTTCTCTACTACCAGTGCAATTTAAAAGCATCTATCAAATCTCTGTACATACTTCATGTTAGATTTCCTGTCATAAGTTTGATTTTCTTTTTAGAATAGTCTTGATTTCAAATAATTTCAAATCTAAAGCTCAAACAATTTCAATCTAAAATGTAGGTATTTTCTTACAGAAGGGAAATGTTATATTTTTTCATTGCATGCACCCAGCACATGCGTTGTAGTCTTGAATTTCCATAATGCCCCTGTGAGGTGGATGTGAGCTCAGCATTACAGACAAGAAGACAGCCTCTGACCCTCCTTACATCCTCGTGGTTTTTGTCAGTCAGTTCATGGAAATCACAGTGATTTCAAGGTGTGGTAAGACAGGATGTGTACCCAGGCCCAGCTGACTCCAGAGGCCACTCTCAATATTTCATAGCACATTGCTTCTCAGGAAACAGGTCATTGGGGAAATGCAGATGGGTTTGTGACTTACATTTAATTTTATTTATTTATATTTTATTGTATCATGTTTAAATTATTTTGCATCTGGATATCATCACAAAAGTGTTACTGAAGGCAACAATTGCAAATATATGTGCAGTGCTTTGCACTTATACAAAGATACAAAGATACTTACACAAAGATTGCCTTTTTCACTATTTAAAGCAATTTTCAGACGAAATACAAAGTTTTCTGGGTCTCTTTGGTTAGTCAAGTACCTGGAAGCTCTGAACAGTGATTATTTAGGACTCTTTTCCTTTACCATTTAATTGCAGGCTCTCCTAATCTCTGTCAGCCCTTCACCTTTATGACCTTGCCTTATCTACCAGAACACAGATCCCTCTTACTAAAGGTAGCCTTGTGTTACCTCTGTCAGCCCTTCAGCTTTATGACCAGAACACAGATCCCTCTTACTAAAGGTAGCCTTGTGTTACAGGCCCTAGCAGGGAATGTTTTCAGGTCTGGGACCCCTCTAATCAGAACTGTCACAAAGATGTCATTTGCACAAACACGTTATTTGTCATCACTTTCTAAGCAGCCCTGGAACTGGACTCTGGCCACAGAGATCCCTTAGGAGACATGAGTCCTTACCATTGCTAATTGCCTGTTCTGTGGGTGATCCTAATTGTTGAATGCAGATTAATTAACTTATGACATGTGGTAGTAAACATCTATCCAAACTTAGGAGGATATAAGAAGCTAGTAAAAGAGGTGGGTTCCAATTAGTTAAAAACAAGTTGTGTAATGTTAAAAGTTTTAATACTTTGGTAATAGTCTGTGCAACATAAAATAGCTATTAAGCTTTCAATCCGATCAAATGAACACTTGTCTACTAGGGATAATTTGATCCTAGTGTATTCACTTGGAGGACAAAATTAAATTAGTTAATGATCGCTTTATTTCCTAGCAGGATCTGATGTGTAAAATGTTTCTGAAATAATTTTGTCTGTAGTGTTTCTGACACAATGCTGTGGAGGAAGCATGTGATAGCACTTACTCATATAGATTATATATATGAAGTAAAAACACATAGCCAGAACCTTTTTCTGAATATAGTTGCTCAGTTAATTTTTTCTTCTGCATAAGAAATCATCTCGAATGTTCTTATGTGATACGTAAAGTGGGGAAGGTGGAAGATAAACATATAACCCATTGGATTCTCTTTTCCAATATCTAGATTAGATCCTGTGCTGAAAGAGAAACCAAGAAAAAAGATGACATTCCAGAAGAAGACAAAGGAAATGTAAAACAATGTGAAATCAATTATGTGTATGTATTCTTTTCCTTTTAGACCTACAGATTTGACAGTGAAGTGCTTCTCAAAGTGCTTTCAAAATAAATTACCTACTTAGCTGGGCATGGTGGTACATGCCTATAGGCCCAGCTACTCGGGAGGCTGAGACAGGAGGATTGTTTGAGCCCAGGAGTTCAAGGCTGCAGTGAGCTCTGATCACCACTGCCTTCCAGCCTGGGTGGCAGAGCAAGACCGTGTCTGAAAAAATGAAACTGATGGACAAGAAGAGACGACACAATGTAGCCTCTAGGACAGAGCACTGAGCTAAATGCTTTTCTTTTCTTGAGGCTTCAGTTTTCCTAATCATCCTACCACCTCCCAAAGCTAGTCACTCAGGTTAGTCAATCTCTCTATTCATTCATAGAATGGGTGTGATGCCAGTCAAAGGCTGTGCTATGGCCAGGACACAGGGGACTCTAGCCAGCATGCCCTAATAGAAGTGGGGCCTTGTGCTACCCAGTCAATGAGTGGCCCTCCTCTTGAGAGGTCATGAAGGTCATCTTTGTTGAAAAGCTCCAGCTTATTTAAAAAAATACAATTAGACCTTTTTTTTTCTCCCCCAAGATGGAGTCTCGCTCTCTCCCCCAGACTAGAGTGCCATGGCGCGATCTCGGCTCATCGCAACCTCCGCTTCCCAGGTTCATGTGATTCTCCTGCCTCAGCCTCCCGAGTAGCTGGGACTACAGGCGCGTGCCACTATGCTCGGCTAATTTTTGTATTTTTGGTAGAGATGGGGTTTCACCATGTTGGCCAGGCTGTTCTCGAACTCCTGACCTTGAGCGATGTGCCTGCCTTGGCCTCCCAAAGTGCTGGGATTGCAGGCATGAGCCACTGCGCCTGGCCTACAATTAGACTTTTTTACAAGTGAAAAAGAAATTAACAGTATTTATAAATTTAATAGTAAATATGTATAATCAGAGTTTGAGGTATTTTTCAATGAAGACATTTTCTTTACAGAAAGAAATTTCAGAGCTTCCAAGACCACAAACTTAAAATAAGTAAAGAAGACAGTAAAATTCTTAAAAAGGCTCGGAAAGATGGATTTTTGCATGAGACGCTTCTGGACAGGTAGCTATTTATTTACTTATTTCCACTATTTTCAGTAGCCAATAGAAATGGCATGTAGAAAACCTACATTCTCTTAAATTACTGTAGTTTTTCACATTTTTGTCTTTATTTCTAATTTATGAGTGTGGCAATATTACCTAAAGAGGACATCGTAAGTTTGGGAAAAGACTGTCATGAAAGAATATCTAAAAATTATAACCGATTCTAAGTATATACTTGAAGAAATTCAGGTTTGACTGTATCTACTTCATAAATTTATCATCTTTTTATAACTATTAGAACCAGAGTTAGAAGCAGTTTGACTAATATAAAAATTATGTGGATTCTGTTAGAGTAGTTCAGGTTCCTTAAAATAAGAATAGATCAACTAAAAAACTAAGTATAAAAGCTAAACAAGTGAAATTGAAGCAGTTTTATTATAAGATTTGGAAGAGTGCAGGATGTTTATCATACCACATTATTAATATTTATTACTCTTCCTAGGTAGATAAGTAATGTCCTAGATTTATGACATAGAAAAACAGAGACGTTTAGCTGTGAGTGTACAAGTATAAATCAATTAAGTGCCAGATTTTGATAATCACCAGCCGCTCATTCAAGTCGTATGTTGCAAAGTTACTCTTACCCTTTTTTTTACATTACTTGATAAAGGCAATGTTTAATTACGTATTTCCTGTTAACTAGCTGGTAGTGTTCATACCTAAAGTCAGTAAATAATGTTAAGAATTTTTTCCAGCTGAGCAAATGAATATGTATCTCATTGTAAGAAATCAAGAAGAGGATATAAAATATAATCAGGATGTGGACTCTAAAACGGAATAAGCTCTATGTCCTGTAACTTTTATCACTTGTAATAATACAGCATTCTCACCCTGTTAAATGGAAATTTAGAGCAGCCTTAAATTCCGGAATAATTAAAATTGCTATTTGGATTGAAAAAGCCCTTAGGCAACATTTATTGAATATTAGGAAATAACTTTTATAAGATTAGAATCCATTTTTTATAGAAACCAAATTTAAAAGTATACATATTTTAATAAAAGTGTTGTGGTAATAACCAAAATTGAACACACAGTTTTAAAGCTTTTTATATTTAGTAGCAGTTGAATATATATGGCATGTTTTACATAGATTAATTTTATTTTTCTTTGTTTAAACAGGAGAGCCAAATTGAAAGCCGACAGATACTGCAAGTGACTGGGATTTTTGTTTCTGCCTTATCTTTCTGTGTTTTTTTCTGAATAAAATATTCAGAGGAAATGCTTTTACAGAGTTCTTGAGTTGTGAAATTATTGTTTAGCTAGTTTAACCAGGATTAAACAAGTTTAATCAGGATTCTTCATGGATGTACTTTTTAGCTAACTACAGTTTTTCACATGGAAATGAAACTTACAGTTCACACTTAATGTACCACAGAATTTTTTTCTGGATTTCCTGTCCTGAAGCATGAAGTGTACTAGAAACCAATTCTTCCTGCGCTACTTGTGGAATCTGTCTTACTGGATCATAATCTTACTTTACTTTATATAATAGATGCTTAATCAGTGCCTTTAATAGAAGTTAGAAACTCCCAATCCAATCAACAAGGCTTTGGTTCTACCTTCTAAGTACTACCCAGATCACAGACAATCCAAATATCAGAACTAGGGGGCTGGGCAGAGAGGACAAATCATCTATTAGGGAGTGGGACAGAAAGCAGAAACATTACAAAGGAGCAAGTAGGCTCAGAACAGAGGGGAGAGTAGTACTGGGGAAACTCCCTGCTGAGGACAGGTTAGCCACAGTGGATATGTATGTGATGCCTTTGTCCTTGTGGGCTGGAATGGAAGCTGGTAAGGGAATAGGAACAGCTCCAGTCTACAGCTCCCAGCGTGAGCGATGCAGAAGACGTGTGATTTCTTCATTTCCAACTGAGGTACCAGGTTCATCTCACTGGGGAGTGTCAGGCAGTGGGTGCAGGACAGTGGGTACAGTGCACCGAGCATGAGCCAAAGCAGGGCGAGGCATCACCTTACCCAGGAAGAACAAGGGGTCAGGGAATTCCCTTTCCTAGTCAAAGAAAGGGGTGACAGACGGCACCTGGAAAATTGGGCCACTCCCACCCTAATACTGCGCTTTTCCAACACTCTTAGCAAACGGCACACCAGGAGATTATATCCTGCGCCCGGCTTGGAGGGTCCTGCGCCCAAGGAGCCTCGCTCATTGCTAGCACAGCAGTCTGAGATCAAACTGCAAGGCGGCAGCGAGGCTGGGAGAGGGGCACCTGCCATTGCCGAGGCTTGAGTAGGTAAAGTGGCTGGGAAGCTCAAACTGGGTGGAGCCCACTGCAGCGCAAGGAGGCCTGCCTGCCTCTGTAGACTCCACCTCTAGGGGCAGGGCATAGCCAAACAAAAGGCAGCAGAAAACTCTGCAGACTTAAATGTCCCTGTCTGACAGCTTTGAATAGAGTAGTGGTTCTCCCAGCAAGCAGCTGGAGATCTGAGAACAGACAGACTGCCTCCTCAAGTGGGTCCCTGACCCCCGAGTAGCCTAACTGGGAGGCATCCCCCAGTAGGGGAAGACTGACACCTCACATGGCCGGGTACTCCTCTGAGACAAAACTTTCAGAGGAACAATCAGGCAGCAACATTTGCTGTTCACCAATATCTGTTGTTCTGCAGCCTCCACTGCTGATACCTGGGCAAACGGTCTGGAGTGGACCTCCAGTAAACTCCAACAGACCTGCAGCTGAGGGTCCTGACTGTTAGAAGGAAAACTAACAGAAAGGACATTCACACCAAAACTCCATCTGTACATCACCATCATCAAAGACCAAAGGTAGATAAAACCACAAAGATGGGGAAAAAACAGAGCAGAAAAACTGGAAACTAAAAATCAGAGCACCTCTCCTCCTCCAAAGGAACACAGCTCCTCACCAGCAACGGAACAAAGCTGGACGGAGAATCATTGACGAGTTGAGAGAAGGCAGCTTCAGACAAACTACTCCGAGCTACAGGAGGAAATTCAAACCAATGGCAAAGAAGTTAAAAGCTTTGAAAAAAAATTAGACAAATGGATAACTAGAATAACCAATGCAGAGAAGTCCTTAAAGGACCTGATGGAGCTGAAAACCACGGCATGAGAACTACGTGATGAATGCACAAGCCTCAGTAGCCGATTTGATCAACTGGAAGAAAGGGTATCAGTGATGGAAGATCAAATGAATGAAATGAAGCGAGAAGTTTAGAGAAAAAAGAATAAAAAGAAACGAACAAAGCCTCCAAGAAATACGGGACTATGTGAAAAGACCAAATCTATGTCTGATTGGTGTACCTTAAAGTGATGGGGAGAATGAAACCAAGTTGGAAAACACTCTGCAGGATATTATCCAGGAGAACTTCCCCAATCTAGCAAGGCAGGCCAATATTTAAATTCAGGAAATACAGAGAATGCCACAAAGATACTCCTTGAGAAGAGCAACTCCAAGACACATAATTATCAGATTCACCAAAGTTGAAGGAAAAAATGTTAAGGGCAGCCAGAGAGAAAGGTTGGGTTACCCACAAAGGGAAGCCCATCAGACGAACAGCTGATCTCTCCGCAGAAACTCTACAAGCCAGAAGAGAGTGGGGGCCAATATTCAACATTCTTAAAAGAATTTTCAACCCAGAATTTCATATCTAGCCAAACTAAGCTTCATAAGTGAAAGAGAAATAAAATCTACAGACAAGCAAATGCTGAGAGATTTTGTCACCAGCAGGCCTGCCCTAACAGAGCTCCTGAAGGAAGCACTAAACATGGAAAGGAACAACCTGTACAAGCCACTGCAAAAACATGCCAAATTGTAAAGAACATCGAGGCTAGGAAGAAACTGCATCAACTAATGAGCAAAATAACCAGCTAATATCATAATGACAGGATCAAATTCACACATAACAATATTAACCTTAAATGTAAATGGGCTAAATGCTCCAATTAAAAGAGAGAGACTGGCAAATTGGATAGAGTCAAGACCCATCAGTGTGCTGTACTCAGGAAACCCATCTCACATGCAGAGACACACATAGGCTCAAAATAAAGGGATGGAGGAAGATCTACCAAGCAAATGGAAAAAAAAAGGCAGGGGTTGCAATCCTAGTATCTGATAAAACAGACTTTAAACCAACAAAGATCAAAAGAGACAAGGCCATTACATAATGGTAAAGGGATCAATTCAACAAGAAGAACTAACTATCCTAAATATATATGCACCCAATACAGGAGCACCCAGATTCATAAAGCAAGTCCTTAGAGACCTACAAAGAGACTTAGACTCCCACACAATAATAATGGGAGACTTTAACACCCCACTGTCAACATTAGACAGATCAACAAGACAGAAAGTTCACAAGGATATCCAGGAATTGAACCCAGCTCTGCACCAAGCAGATCTAGTAGACATCTACAGATCTCTCCACCCCAAATCAACAGAATATACATTCTTTTCAGCACCACACCACACCTCTTCCAAAATTGACCACATAGTTGGAAGTAAAGCACTCCTTAGCAAATGTAAAAG
The DNA here is from genome assembly GCF_000001405.40 of Homo sapiens. Classification (NCBI taxonomy): domain Eukaryota; kingdom Metazoa; phylum Chordata; class Mammalia; order Primates; family Hominidae; genus Homo; species Homo sapiens. The sequence goes on from NW_015495300.1 coordinate 59,400, forward strand.
AACGGAAATTATAACAAACTGTCTCTCAGACCACAGTACAATCAAACTAGAACTCAGGATTAAGAAACTCACTCAAAACTGCTCAACTACATGGAAACTGAACAACCTGCTCCTGAATGACTACTGGGTACATAACGAAATGAAGGCAGAAATAAAGATGTTCTTTGAAACCAACGAGAACAAAGACACAACATACCAGAATCTCTGAGACACATTCAAAGCAGTGTGTAGAGGGAAATTTATAGCACTAAATGCCCACAAGAGAAAGCAGGAAAGATCTAAAATTGACACCCTAACATCACAATTAAAAGAACTAGAGAAGAGCAAACACATACAAAAGCTAGCAGAAGGCAAGAAATAACTAAGATCAGAGCAGAACTGAAGGAAATAGACACAAAAAACCCTTCAAAAACTCAATGAATCCAGGAGCTGGTTTTTTGAAAAGATCAACAAAATTGATAGACTGCTAGCAAGACTAATGAAGAAAAGAGAGAAGAATCAAATAGGTGCAATAAAAAATGATAAAGGGGATATCACCACTGATCCCACAGAAATACAAACTACCATCAGAGAATACTATAAACACCTCTACGCAAATCAACTAGACAATCTAGAAGAAATGGATAAATTCCTGGACACATACACCCTCCCAAGACTAAACCAGGAAGAACTTGAATCTCTGAATAGACCAATAACAGGCTCTGTAATTGAGGCAATAATTAACAGCTTACCAACCGAAGAAAGGCCAGGACCAGATGGATTCACAGCCTAATTCTACCAGAGGTACAAGGAGGAGCTCATACCATTCCTTCTGAAACTATTCCAATCAATAGAAAAAGAGGGAATCCTCCCTAACTCATTTTATGAGGCCAGCATCATCCTGATACCAAAGCCTGGCAGAGACACAACAAAAAAAGAGAATTTTAGACCAATATCCCTGATAAACATCGATGCAAAAATCCTCAATAAAATACTGGCAAACCGAATCCAGCAGCACATCAAAAAGCTTATCCACCATGATCAAGTGGGCTTCATCCCTGGGATGCAAGGCTGGCTCAACATATGCAAATCAATAAATGTAATCCAGCATATAAACAGAACCAATGACAAAAACCACATGATTATCTCAATAGATGCAGAAAAGGCCTTTGACAAAATTCAACAAACCTTCATGCTAAAAACTCTCAAAAAATTAGGTATTGATGGGACATATCTCAAAATAGTAAGAGCTATCTATGACAAACCCACAGCCAATAGCATACTGAATGGGCAAAAACTGGAAGCATTCCCTTTGAAAACCAGCACAAGACAGGGATGCCCTCTCTCACCACTCCTATTCAACATAGTGTTGGAAGTTCTGGCCAGGGCAATCAGGCAGGAGAAGGAAATAAAGGGTATTCAATTATGAAAAGAGGAAGTCAAATTGTCCCTGTTTGCAGATGACATGATTGTGTATCTAGAAAACCCCATCATCTCAGCCCAAAATCTGCTTAAGCTGATAAGCAACTTCAGCAAAGTCTCAGGATACAAAATCAATGTGCAAAAATCACAAGCATTCTTATACACCAATAATAGACTAACAGAGAGCCAAATCATGAGTGAACTCCCATTCACAACTGCTTCAAAGAGAATAAAATACCTAGGACTCCAACTTACAAGGGACATGAAGGACCTCTTTAAGGAGAAATACAAACCACTGCTCAATGAAATAAAAGAGGATACAAACAAATGGAAGAACATTCCATGCTCATTGGTAGGAAGAATCAATACCGTGAAAATGGCCATACTGCCCAAGGTAATTTATAGATTCAATGCCATCCCCATCAAGCTACCAATGACTTTCTGCACAGAAATAGAAAAAAATACTTTAAAGTTCATATGGAATCAAAAAAGAGCCTGCATTGCCAAGTCAATCCTAAGCCAAAAGAACAAAGCTGGAGGCATCATGCTACCTGACTTCGAACTATACTACAAGGCTACAGTAACCAAAACAGCATGGTACTGGTACCAAAACAGAGATATAGAACAATGGAACAGAATAGAGCCCTCAGAAATAATGCCACATGTCTACAACCATCTGATCTTTGACAAACCTGACAAAAACAAGCAATGGGGAAAGGATTCCTTATTTAACAAATGGTGCTGGGAAAACTGGCCAGACATATGTAGAAAGCTGAAACTGGATCCCTTCCTTACACCTTATACAAAAATTAATTCAAGATGGATTAAAGACTTAAATGTTAGACCTAAAACCATAAAAACCCTAGAAGAAAACCTAGGCAATACCATTCAGGACATAGGCATAGGCAAGGACTTCATGTCTAAAACACCAAAAGCAATGGCAACAAAAGCCAAGATTGACAAATGGGATCTAATTAAACTAAAGAGCTTCTGCACAGCAAAAGAAACTACCATCAGAGTGAACAGGCAACCTACAGAATGGGAGAAAATTTTTGCAATCTACTCATCTGACAAAGGGCTAATATCCCGAATCTACAATGAACTCAAATTTACAAGAAAAAAAACAAACAATCCCATCAAAAAGTGGGCAAAGGATATGAACAGACACTTCTCAAAAGAAGACATTTATGCAGCCAACAGACACATGAAAAAATGCTCATCATCACTGGCCATCAGAGAAATGCAAATCAAAACCACAATGAGATACCATCTCACACCAGTTAGAATGGTGATCATTAAAAAGTCAGGAAACAACAGGTGCTGGAGAGGATGTGGAGAAATAGGAACACTTTTACACTGTTGGTGGGACTGTAAACTAGTTCAACCATTGTGGAAGTCCGTGTGGTGGTTCCTCAGGGATCTAGAACTAGAAATACCATTTGACCCAGCCATCCCATTACTGGGTATATACCCAAAGGATTATAAAACATGCTGCTATAAAGACACATGCACACATATGTTTATTGTGGCACTATTCACAATAGCAAAGACTTGGAACCAACCCAAATGTCTAACAATGATTGACTGGATTGAGAAAATGTGGCACATATACACCATGGAATACTATGCAGCCACGAAAAATGATGAGTTCATGTCCTTTGTAGGGACATGGATGAAGCTGGAAACCATCATTCTCAGCCAACTATTGCAAGGACAAAAAACCAAACACAGCATGTTCTCACTCATTGGTGGGAATTGAACAATGAGAACACTTGGACACAGGAAGGGGAACATCACACACCAGGGCCTGCTGTGGGGTCAGGGGAGGGGGGAGAGATAGCGATATGAGATATAACTAATGTTAAATGAAGAGTTAATGTGTGCAGCACACCAACATGGCACATGTATACGTATGTAACAAACCTGCCCGTTGTGCACATGTACCCTAAAACTTAAAGTACAATAAAGAAAAAAAAAATTCCATAGTGGCGATATAGAACAGTTTGTTTAACCATTCAGTCATTGGAGGATATCTGGGTTGTTTCTAGTTCTAGGCTATTACAAATAAAGGTGCTCTGAACATTTCTGTTAAAAAAAAAAAAAAGTTAAGACGCTACGTGTTGCTTAGGTCTGCTTTGTTGAAGCCTGTCTCTTTCAGAGTTCCTAAACACAATATTCCCATGGCATCTAATCCTAGTGAGTGCTCCAAATCCAGGCTGTGTATCAGATGCCACGGGAAATTCTGCCTCAGGACTGAGTTTGGTTCAAGCATCTGGATGTTGTCAAAAGTCCACGTTGTGTGCTGGCCTAATCTGAAAGACCCTAACTAGTTCTAGCCTTTAAATGCCTTCTGTCATCAAATCTAGAGTTACATGGCATTTGTACAAGCTAGGTAGCTGAGGCACGGAATCAGCCCTATAAAGGAGCTTTTGGTGCTTTTGTTGTAGGTCTAGCTCCAACTTGGCACTCCAGTTCCCATAGCTAGACTTTCTCTCATCGTGTGTTCTGATCCTTGGATTAGGAACAAAGTAACTACTCTGATACAAAGCAGTGGTTTCGGTTCCCAACTAGTGACTATTTTGCCTCCCAGGGGACATTTTTGGTTTTCACAACTGGGATACGGTGTTAGAGGGTAGAGGCTAGGGATGCTGCGAAGCATGTGGCAGAATCCTCTTCCGCCCCGAATGCTAATAGTGCCAACGTTGTGGAGGCTTCCCACCCAAGGGCTTGGTCTATTCCTTGCTTTTGCCAGCTCCCTAAACCTTAAACACATTTCAAATTTATATGCATAAGCATCTCCTAGGGACCTGCCCGTTTCCAATATCGACTACTGAGACCCATCCGTAGAGATGCAGGCTTAGGAGGTCTAGGATTGGGCTGAAAATTTGCATTTTAACAAGTACTCCAGGTCATTCTGAAGCAAGTGATACAAACCACACACTGAGGAACACGCCTTCAAGAGACTGAATCTTGCTTCCCAACACTAGCTTGCTATCTGAGACCATCTGCCTGCTGCTGGCTTTCCTGGCACAAACATTCTGCATGTAGGCACAGTGTGCTCCTGGACTCCATGTCACCTCGTTCACCCTCATGTTCCCTCGGTTCCTGTCCCCAGTCCAGCAAGCAGAACTGATTACAGATCTTAACAGAAGATACAGATTGAAAATAACTTGCCTGTTCCCGTGGACTTTATCCACTAGTCAAGGAGGACAAGTGGACAAGGGGAGAGGGTAGGTGGGGGCTCCTTCCCTGTTCCTCCCATTCCACTTTATACAAACCCCAGCTAGACCACTGGGAGAGCAACAGAGGTTAAGAATGACTGCATCTAAATATTTAATTTGGCCCACTCTTCTTCTGTCTTGAACACAAGGGTATCATGAGTTTTGTTTAAAGCACTACTGAAACCAAGATAAATTCTGGCTTAGCATGCCCCTGACAGATCAATCTAGTAATCTTATCAAAAAGATTGAGAAATCGGATGGTTGCTGTGTCTGGGTAGAAAGAAGTAGACATGGGAGACTTTTCATTTTGTTCTGCACTAAGAAAAATTCTTCTGCCTTGGGATCCTGTTGATCTGTGACCTTACCCCCAACCCCTTGCTCTCTGAAACATGTGCTGTGTCCACTCAGGGTTGAATGGATTAAGGGCGGTGCAAGATGTGCTTTGTTAAACAGATGCTTGAAGGCAGCATGCTCGTTAAGAGTCATCACCACTCCCTACTCTCAAGTACCCAGGGACGCAAACACTGCGGAAGGCCGCAGGGTCCTCTGCCTAGGAAAACCAGAGACCTTTGTTCACTTGTTTATCTGCTGACCTTCCCTCCACTATTGTCCTGTGACCCGGCCAAATCCCCCTCTGCGAGAAACACCCAAGAATGATCAATAAAAAAAAAAAAAAAACCAAGATTACCTAAAAGCACTAACCAAAGGAAAACTCCCTCACCTCAACCCGTGACTGCTCACATTTTTCAGATTGAATAATTTCAATTGTATTTTAAGGTTGACTCTTTACCACCTCCAAGCTGCTCCTGAACACAACTATTATTTTTTAATTTTGAAAAATTTTTCACTTCTAGAATTTCCACTTGAGGCTTTGTTATTACTGTAGTTTCTTCTTCTCTGCTGTGATTTTCTATCCATTTATTATAAGAGTTTTTGGGGTTTTGATTTTAGTAAGAATTATAATAACTACTTTAAAAAATCCATACTAATTCCAACATCTCGGTCGTCTCGAGGTCAGTCTCGATTGATTGCCTTTTTCTTTGAATATGTTTCTTGGTATGTTTGATATAATGGGATTGAATCCTGAAGATTGTAAAAACTGGATATTTTTTGTTCCTCTGAAAATTGATAATTTTTTGTATTTTTTTTTCTATTGTATACTTTACATTTTCCTCCAAGGGTTTTAACATTTCTAGTTCTCAAAACATTTACATTTATGTTAAAAATTATACAAAGTAGCTTGGTACAGTGGCTCCCATCTGTAATCCCAGCACTTTGAGAGGCCAAGGCAGGAGGGTCACTCGAGTCCAGGACTTGGAAACCAGCCTAGACAACAGGACAAGACCTTGTCTCCACAAAAAATTATTAGGGTGATACAAAAAGTAATTGCAGGTTTTGCCATTACTTTCAATGGCAAAACCCACAATTCCTCTTGCACCAACCTGATAAAAAATAAGCTGGGTATGGTGGTGGTATGTGCCGGTGGTCTCAGCTATTTGGGAAGTGAAGGCAGAGGTGGGAGGATTGCTTGAGCCCAGGAGTTCCAGACCACCCTGAGACCCTGTCTCTACGGGGAAAAAAAAAAAAAAAAAAAAAAATTAGCTGGGCCCACGTACCTGTGGTACTAGCTACTTGGGAGGCAAAGGCAGAGGTGCCAGAATCACTTGAGCCCAGAAGCTCAAGGCTGCAGGGCACTGTGATTGTGCCACTGCACTCCAGCCTAAGTGATGGAGCATGACCCTGACTCCAGATAATAATAATAATTACAAAAAGGAAAGACCTAGAACACCAGGTTAAAGTATTCTAAAATTTAGCTGACTTACTCTGCTCTCTATAAAACAGGGTTGCCACAGAAAATATAGCATGCCCAGTTAATTTTAAATTTCAGATAAACAAATACTTTTTTCAGTGTAAGTATACCCCATGCAATATTTGGGATATGCTTATACTAAAACTTATTCTTTGTTTATCTGAAATTGAAATTTAACTGGGTATTACATAATTATAGCAGCCTGACCATAAAAGATATGTAGGCTGAGCAAAATTCTACTTTAAACTTCAAGCTTTATAATAAATGCATTATTAATCAACAACTATTATTTACTGAGACCTGTGTAGATCCCCATATTTATTTTTAAATGTGGAACTAGGAAATCTATATAAAGAACATTTATAGAAATGAATGACTGTTCTATAGAGCTGAAAGGAAAACTCTAGCTTTTATTTTTCTCCCCAAACTTAAGCTTTATTTTACATTTGTATAAACAATAAAATTACCACTCAACTTTGGAAGCACAGATCATAATATGAAAATAAAGCAAAGATCCCAGAAACATTTAACAGGCAACAAATCTTTGACATCATCTTACTATAGCAACTAAACGTATAATAATTTAGAACGATCCATTAATTATAAGAATAAATTCTTTTACAAAGCATAACTATTAATATTATTTGACCATCATAAGAACAAACATTTTAACTAAAACACCATGAATACTTTACAGAAAGGGGCGAGTTGCAGACACAGTCCTTCTTGGATTTCTTTTAACACCAGGCTTTCTTCCCTTTTGACCTGAGCTGGGAGTTGAATATTTCCTCTCTTTGCCCTCTGACCCTCTAGTCTCTGAAGCATCTTTTGTACTAGAGGTGTGTGCAGAGACTTCCTGGAAATTTGGATCTGTAAATTGTGCTGTTGTATCTTCTAAGCACTGCAGTGATCTGGATATAGAGCTGTTGCTCTTGCTTGTATAAGTGTAATATTCTGATTCAAAAAAGGAAGTGAAAGGAAGGGAGTTGATTACATTTGGCTACAGAAAAAAAAAGATGACACTAATAATAAAAATAAATAATAATTGTACTTGTAATATAAACATCTGAAAGTTTTAGTTCTAAGAATGGCAGTCCACATAAGAAAATTAGGTAAAAATAATTAATATCTATTATAATTATTTTTCTTTAACCAAAGAAAAAGTATAATTTAAAGATGGCTGTTTAAGCATCAAATTGCAGCCATTGGTAAAAGTAGATATTAGTCATATTTATTAAGTGACACACAGTGATACTGAAGGCACTTGTTTCTCAGCAACATCATTTTTTCCCCAATAAGAACGTACTGCATCCTAGACGTGAAATGAAAATAAGCTTTAATTTTCACCACAGGAGGGCGACAACCAGAGAACTGAGGGGGTACAGATCCATTAGAGGACCATATCCATGAGCTTAAAATGCTCTACTGTAAGAGCAAGAATTTTTAAAGAATCTCGGTGAAGGCTCCTTTTCAAAAAAGCACAAAGATTAAAGCCTTTGAAATGTAAATTATTTTTTGCAGTTATTACATTGAGGACAAAGTTATAGTCGCAAAGTTAAGATTTTTATAACTATCCCTAAAATTGATCCTCAGTGACTCCTTGATCTACATATGTTAAGGAAAAAGGCAAGACACAGATATGTTTAAATAGTTTCCAATTTTCAGTAATCAGCTTCAATATAAGGTATACCCAAATAATGGTGAATTAAATGACCATGAAAGCACGTTATAGCAGATGCCCGCTCATCAATATGCCTTGAAATTAAAGGTTTATAAGGTGCATAAGGGCAAAGGTTTTGATGTTGCCATTACATTCGCAAAAGTATGTGAGGCACGTACAGCATGAAGTTCACTAAGTGCTTGCAACATAACCAGCACTAAATTTTGTTGAATAAATAAATGAATACTTTTGTATAGCATCTGTTCAAAATCTGATGTAAAAATGAAAATAATCTGAAAATATGCAAAACTGAAATTTCCCACAGACGGCTGCCAATTCATACAAACCATAAGATGAATTTCAAAATGAGAACGTGACAATAAAATCAAGTTTCAAAATGGCTGGCCTTTTTTTTTTTTAGCAAAACCCATGTTCAAAAAAAGGAATAAGACATCAAATGTTTTGAGAACCAAAATTTTACTGCTGCTTTTCTAACACCCTGTTGCTAACCTGAGCCCCCATCCTCTTACTGTCAATAACAGATTTTCATCATCAAACACAAGAAACACGCTGGGCACAGTGGCTCACACCTGTAATCCCAGCACTTTGGGAGACTGAGGCGGGTGGATCACTTGAGGTCAGGAGTTTGAGACCAGCCTGGCCGACAGGGTGAAACCTCATCTCTACTGAAAATACAAAAATTAGCTGGGTGTGGTGGTGGGCGCCTGTAATCCCAGCTACTCGGGAGGCTGAGGCAGGAGAATCGCTTGAACCTGGGAGGTGGAGGTTGCAGTGAACTGAGATCGAGCCACTGTACTCCAGCCTGGGTGACAGAGCAAGACTCTGCCTTAAAAAAAAAAGATAAAAATACAATAAACATCTCATAAAAACAAAATAATCACTATTCTAACAAACCACAGTCCACAAATAAGAAGTTTCAAAAAGTAAGTTTAAAAGAAAAAAATTTTTACCAACCACTCACTTTTAAGCTGATAAAACTGCATGGCTTCCTTAAGAAACAAGAATCCCTTCGATGCTGAGCAGGTCAGTTTGGAAACCACCCCACCTCATTTTTCAGTACTTTTTTCCAAATACTTGAGTTGATCCTGAGGTTCTCTATTTCTCTCACATTTGATCCTTGCATGACTTACTGAAGTTGAAAAGTTATTTAAGAAGACACAGTGGTGTTCTTCACTCATGTAATTTGTTCATGTATCAAATAAAGGATGGAGAGAAAACTGGATGAAATACCAGAAGTTAAGAGATACATCAAAAACAGTACCATGAGGGAAAAATTTATAGCTATAAATGATTATAAAACATAAGATACTGAATCAACAACTTTACTCCTAAGGAACTAAAAACAGAGGGAAAAAGAGGGACAACTAAAAGCTAGCAAAATTTTAAAAATGATAAAGATAGCAGTGGAAATAAGTGAAATAGAGAACAGAAAAGCAATATCAAAAATCAACAAAACCAAGTTTATTCTCTGGAAAAGATCAAAACTGACAAAAATTTTATCTAGATTGACTAAGAAAAAAAGGGAATACTCAAATTACGAAACTCAGAAGAAAAATGGGTACATTACTAACAAATTTTTGGAGTAAAAAAAGGATGTAGGAGAGTACCATAAGGAACTATACACTAAAAAATTGAATAACCTAAATAAAATGAACAAATTCCTAGAAACAAAAAACCTACTAAGACTGAATCAGAAAAGTTGAATAAACCTATTCAGCAAGGAGATTCAGCAGGAAGATGGCATAAGTAATCAAAAACCCAGCAACAAAGAAAAGCCTGGACCAGATGGCTTCACTGTTGAATTCTACCCAACGTTTAAAGCAGAATTAACACCAGTTTTTCTCAAACTTTTTCAAAACGTTGAAGAGGAGGTAATGTTTTCTAACTTATTCTATGAGGCCAGTATTACCTTGACACCAAGCCAGACAAAGGCACCATAAGAAAACTACAAACAAACATCCCTTACAAATGCTGATGCAAAAATCCTCAACAAAATACCAGCAACTCAAACTTAGCAGTACACTAAAAGGATTATACACTATGAATGAGTATAATTGACTCCTGAAATAAAAGTATATTCCAACACATGAAAATCAGCGTAATATCACATTAACATAAAGAAGGAAAAAAGCCTCATGTGATCACATTTTAATCAAAGAAGAAAAAGCATTTGTCAAAATTTAACCCACATTCATGATAAAATGTACTTAATAAACTATAAAAAGAAAGAAAACACTTTAACATAATGTCATACAAAAAACAAAAACACAGCTAATGTGGTGAAAGACTGAAAGCTTTTACCCTAAGAGCAAAAACAAGGATGCCTGCTTTTACTACTTCTGTTTAATATAGTACTGAGGATTCTAGTTAGTTAAAACATGAGTAAAAGAATAAAAGATATTCCAATTTTTTTAAAAGTAAAATTATCTGTTTGCAGATGACATAACCTTATATATTAAAAATCTTTTGGTTTCTGTGAAATAAACTGTCAGATACAATAAACAAAATTCAGCAAAGCTGCAGGATACAAAATCAATACACAAAAATCAGTTGTATTTCTACAATAACAATAAACTATCTGAAGAAGAAATCAAGACAACAGTATCATGTATGATAGCATCAAAAGAATAAAATACTTAGAAACCCACTTAACCAAGAAAATGAAAAACCTGTACAGCAAAAACTATAAACATGGCATGAACGTATTAAAGATGACAAATAAATGAAAAGACATCATGTGTTTATGGACTGGAAGACAAAACCTTGTCAAGATGCCATTGTTATCTATAGTCATCTACAGATTCAATAAAATCACTATAAAAATTCCAATATTTGCAAAAATAGAAAAACCTATTCTAAAATTCAGATGAAATCTCAAAAAATCCCAAGTAGCCAAATCAATCTTAAAAACTAACAAAGTTAGAGGACTAACACCTCCTGGTTTCAAACTTACTGCAATGCTTCAGTACCCAAAACTTGTACCAGCATAGAGACAGAGACAAAGACCAATGCGATAGAAATAAAGAACCAAAAAATATGGTCATGATTTTTAACACAGGAGTCAACACTATTCAATGGGAAACGATGGTATTTTTTGAATGGTGTTTAAAATGGATATTTACATATACCCATATGTATGTATATATCCCAAATTAGCTTTTTGTCTGTCATGTATGTGGCAGATCTATTTCCCCAGTCTGTTGACTTTTGACTTAGAGGCATTTTTCTCTCACACAAAGTTTCAATTTTTATGGAGTCAAATACATCAGTCTTCTATTCAGTGACTTCTTCATGGGAATGGTGTTTGATTTTAGGATGATAAAGAAGTTGTAGATATGGATAAATTAGATAAACTAGATGGTTGGACAACACTGAATATACTGGATGCCACAGAACTGTACATTTAAACATGGTTAAAATGGTAAGTTTTATGTTGTGTATATTTTACCACCAAAAAAGGGCCAGGCTTAGATGTTTACATGTTAGGGGTTTGGAGTACCTCTAACATTTATTCCCCTCCAGGGGAATAATTTATAAACACCCACACAAGAAAAGTAGATACTGACTTCACAAATCTCCTTACAAGTCCCACAGCAAGGGCTGTCTGGGAAAGCAGAGATGGAAAAAGTCACATAAACTTGAGGTCAGTGTGAGACCTCCCATCCCCTACTCTGGAATCAGATGGAGGAAGGCAGGTATGCAGGCTGAGCTGGAGAGATGAGCTGGGGTGGGCAGAACTGTCCTCCCATGAGCCCAGACCTTAACTGCTCCCACATGCTCCCAGGCATGTATCAAACCAAGAAAGCGGCTAGGAGGGTAACACAGCTACCTGTATACAGGGAGCCATGAAATATCTGAGCTGCGCAAGTGATGCACAAGGAGATGGAAGCAGTCTGACCTTTACACAGTGACCTGGCTCAAATAATTTCAGGCTCTCAATCAGGCGAGCTCCACTTTCTCTCTGAGGTAGGTAAACTTGAGGGGTTTAAGTGGGAGTTGAGGATAATGGAAAAGAAAGCCTGGTAGTATTTCTTCTAATTCTGTTATAAATAAAAAGTAAAACAAATGCCTTTTCTCAGGGCCCAAATGTTAGGTGAAAAAATGTCATCTCAGTCATGTGATGTGGACTTCAGCAGAGCAGTACCCTCATGGTCATTTATCCTTTCCCTCTGCATGTTGTGTGCTTTTTCAGTTTACAATGTACCTGATCCACTTGTCTCATCACACTAGCTGCAAACAAGGCCACTGCATGTCACACCAGGTGGCCAGCATGTCTGTGAAGGGCAGAAACGGGGGCAGCCAAACAGCTGGCAGAGGCCAGCTAGTAAGTACCTGATGCCCACTCCATAGAGGACTCCACACTTAAAAGACAAGATAAGCAAGTGTCAGGCTGCCTCACTAGTTATCCCCCCAAATAAAAAAATAAAAGTAACCCCTCCAGGGAACATGTTTGTGTGTACACAAAGTACATGCACACAGCTACATGCAAACGGGAAAGGCTGGGAAGGAACCAAATCCACCTCTGAACACCAGTTACTTGTGGGGAAGGGGCACGTGAAGCCAACTGTCAGCATTACTCACCTTTTCAACTGATGAGCTTGCATCAATTTTGGCAATTTCTCATAAAAAGACAATTTTCACTCCTTGGGTGATCACCCAGGTCCTGCAAAACTGAGCCACCAACAACCACCTGCACCACTTCCCATGAGGCCAAATAATGGCTTCCCTCAAAGCTCAGCCCTCCCACCCACCTCCCAGTCCTGTACCGTGCAGGGGGGCTGCCGGCCTCCTGGGGTGCAGGGGGGCTGCCGGCCTCCTGGGGTGCAGGGGTCCAGGCCAAACCCAACCTACAGATGGTTGGTGAAACCAGCACGTATCCAAGGGCCTTTTCCCCACCTGTGCCATGTGCCGACTGCATAGATAGGCCTGTGCTTGCTCCCCCTAGGACAGAGATTCCCTTTTCTTCCATTGGAATGAGGGGTGGGGAGATTTGATGGTATTCTGTACAGGTTGGATGTTAATCTGATGTGGTGCTCTTGGAAAAGCTTGCCTGAGTTCGGCGCTTTCTCAGCACATGGTGTGTGCTGCCCCTTCAAGCTGCAGAAACCCCAGAAGGTAAGTGCTAACTGCAACCCCCATTTACTGGTGAGCAGAGGTCAGGTGATCTGCAGCCAGCCAAGCAGCTGCTAAGTGGCCAACAGGCTGGATCTGCATCTCACTTGCAGAGGCCCTGCCTGGCTGCTGGGACTGCCCTGAGACTCCCTCCTCCTCCTCCTCTTCCCTCCACAGCTCTCCCAGCTTCTATCCACAGCTGTGCTCCAGGTGGGGAACACCTATGGCTGCACCAGGGTGCAACTACTCAGACTCCAGCGTGCAGAAAGGCCCCGGCTCCATGCTGTTTCCATATCCCAGCCCAAGCTCGTCTAGAGCTTCAGCAAATCCAAGCTTCCCTGAATTCCCTGCAAGACTAAACCAAGCCCTACAACCCCCACTACACTGGTTAGCTGCCAGTCCGAGCCCCTGCTGCCTCCTGGGCCCCTGTCTGTACAGTTCTGGAGTCCTACAAGAATGCTGAGATCGTAAGCCGACTCTCACCCAAAGAGGTAAACAACCAGGGACCTCCAGGGGTGGAGAACATACCCAGACAGGTTCTGCTGCCTGTAGGCTTCATGTCCTTCCCCTACAACACGCCATGCTTGCCAGGCTGGAAGAGGGGCTCCAGAAACTTGGGAAACCTGGGCCTGTAGCTGGCATGTGGAAAAGAGGCCTGGAAAAGCACCACTCCTGTCCATGAAGCCCCCACATGGAACCAGGTAATTGGGAAATACATGGGCACCAAGCCTGACGCCCTCCTCAGACCCAGGTGGGAACTGCAGCAGTGACTTGCCCCCTCTGCCTCTGGCTGTACCACTATGAGAGGGAGGAACATCCAGGTCCACACGTGAGTGGAGACACCAGGTGTGGGCAGGTTCCAGTGATTGCTGCAGCTGAACCTTCCCAAGCAGGTCCATGCAAGACCATCTCAGATGGGTGTGCACCTGGATTGGGCAAGGACACCCCTCAGAGAGTGAGGGCCACTGAGGGGGGCTGTCACAGAGTCCCCTTTTCCTGCTCCTAGAACAGGCTGGGGGAGTGTGGGGGAGTGTGGGGGAGTGTGGGGGAGTGTGGGGGAGGTTGGGGGAGGTTGGGGAAGTGTGGGGGAGTGTGGGGGAGGTTGGGGGAGGTTGGGGGAGGTTGGGGAAGTGTGGGGGAGTGTGGGGGAGGTTGGGGGAGTGTGGGGGAGTGTGGGGGAGTGTGGGGAAGTGTGGGGGAGGAGTGTGGGGGAGTGTGGGGGAGTGTGGGGGAGTGTGGGGGAGTGTGGGGGAGGTTGGGGGAGGTTGGGGGAGGTTGGGGAAGTGTGGGGGAGGTTGGGGGAGTGTGGGGGAGGTTGGGGGAGTGTGGGGAACCTCTCCCACCTCCCAGCTGCTTCCAGGAGCCACTTCTTTCGAGATGAGACACTCTGCTGCCTGTCTGTTCCCATTTGGCTGCAATAGACCATTGACAACATTCAGAGAACAAGAAGGGGCCTCACCTGTTTTCCCTGACACGTCGGAGGCAGATGGACATTCCCAGGGGACCTGGGGTAGAACCTGTTCATCTGCCCACCCCCAGGCTGTGCTGGCTTCATCTTATCTGTGTGATGGTGGCGGTGGGAATTACCAAGGGGTCATCACACAGACCATGGACAAGTTCTACAAGAGCCAGGGAGAAGAGCCCTGTCCGTGCTTGCTGCCCAGCACCCAGCTCACACACACACCTCTTATTTGACAGCTTCCCCAAAGCGGGCTTTGCAGTCCAGGCTCCCCGAGAAGCTTGGGGAGGAGACTCTGCCAGTCTGAAGGGCCTATCCCTAAAAAGGTGCCACCCTCACCAGGCTCATCCTGGCAATCTTGGATTATCTTTGCTCTGAGGTTTTGGAGTGGGGGACAGGGAGACAGCAGACACTGCACATCACCCATCTTTCCAGAGAGCATCAGCCCTCCAGACTGGGGCAGGTCAGACCTCCACTTGGGCGTTTTTCTCACTGGTTGCCAGTTGGGGGAAGCAGCATTTGTGAGCACCTGCCTGTCTTCCCAGGTCCTGTTCAGAAACCCCATCTGTGCCTTTGGAGAGACTGCCCTGAGCACACAGGCCCAGCAACCACCATATACGACCCCCAGGACCTAATCCCCCTCTACATAGGGTTCAGTGCATGTTAGCAGACACTGGGCTCGATTCCTGCCTAGTCCCTGCCAGATACCCCATGCCCACCTCGTGAAGAGAATGAGGCCACACAAACACACCCAGACCGTCTTGGTGATGGAGTGCCTGGGGTCCCACTTGCCCACCCTTCATTGCTGGTTCAGAGCCAGCTGTCTGACCACATTCCTACCCCGAGATGGGACTTTGGGGACATTGTCCACCAGGGTCGCTGAGCCCTTTTAAAGTTCCAGACACATGGCCAACTGGTCCCCTAAAAGTTTGGTACATGGGATAAGCCAAGGCTTTTCTTCAGGAACAGGCTTTCCACCACGTCGCTGCCCAAGGCCCAGGGCATCCCCAAGTTCATGTGGCGCCTGCCTGCCATGTCCACAGCCCATGCCGAGCCCTCCTAGAGCCACTGGAATGCTTGTTCCTGGGCATGTGATGAACCCAGACAGCTTCCGCCTTGCAGGACAACTGTGCACATCTGGCAGCAGTAGCCAGAGGGCCCATAGAAGTTGGAGGTGAAACCAGATGCTGTGAGAATACTTTATTAGGCAAAACCGCATACTATAAAAATGCTTTAAAATGCAGCAGGAGATGTGAAGACACAAATGAACGAGCGCATAGTGACACATGGCTGTCAGAACACAGTGAAGGATCCACACTGCTTCCCCCCTTTACCTAGAAAAGGAGAGTTCTAGGCCACCTCCTCCTCCTCATACTCCTCCTCCCTCGGCCGTGGCATCCTGATATTGCTGATATTCAGACACCAAGTCGTTCATGTTGCTCTCGGCCTCAGTGAATTCCATCTCATCCATGCCCTCGCCCGTGTACCAGTGGAGGAAGGCCTTGCGCCTGAACGTTGCTGTAAACTGCTCTGAGACCCGCTTGAGTTCCTGGACGGCTGTGTTGTTCCCAGTGAAGGTGACTGACATTTTTAGCCCCCAGGGTGGGATGTCACAGACGGCTGTTTTTACGTTGTTGGGGAACCAGTCAGCAAAGTAGCTGCTGTTCTTATCTTGAATGTTGAACATCTGTTCATCCACCTCCCTCATGGGCATGCGACCCTGGAAAATGGCAGCCGCCGTTAGGTAGCGGCCGTGACGGGGGTCACGGGCAGCCATCATGTTCTTAGCATCAAACATCTGCTGGGTGAGCTCAGCCACAGTCAAGGCCCGGTACTGCTGGCTGCCCCGGCTGGTCAGTGGGGCAAAGCCGGGCATGAAGAAATGCAGCCGGGGAAACGGGACCATGTTCATGGCCAGCTTCCGCAGGTCAGCATTCAGCTGGTCGGGGAAGCACAGGCACGTGGTGACCCCACTCATGGTAGCAGACACCAGGTGGTTCAGGTCACCATAGGTGGGTGTGGGCAGTTTTAGGGTCCTGGAACATATGTCATATAGCGCTTCGTTATCTATGCAGAAGGTCTCATCTGCGTTTTCTATGAGCTGGTGGACTGAGAGGGTGGCGTTGTAGGGCTCCACCACGGTGTCTGACACCTTGGGCAAGAGCAGGATGCTCAATGTGTTTATAATCCTGTCTGGGTACTCCTCCCAGATCTTACTAATGAGAAGGGTACCCATCCCAGACCCAGTCCCCCCACCCAGGGAGTGGGTCAGCTGGAAACCCTGCAGGCAGTCACAGCTCTCAGCCTCCTTTCTGACAACGTCCATCACTGACTCCGTCAGCTCCGCGCCTTCGGTGTAGCGTCCCTTGGCCCAGTTGTTTCCGGCCCCACACTGACCTGTAAGACAGCACAGCCGGTCACTCGACGGCCAGGTATACGGTCATCAGTGGTCACCACCATAATGCAGAAAGGGCCAAGTGTCACGTGTGAGGTGAGAGCACCATTCGCCCTGCAGGTGGAGCAGATGAAACCCCCTCCCCCGGAGTTACAGGACAGCAGCTTCCCCTCTCTTAGGAATTAAGTCAGGAGTCAAACCTGAGAGGGGCTAACCTCACTGCAGGTGGAACAAATGAAAACCCCTCCCCCGGAGTTACAGGACAGCAGCTTCCCCCGTTAGGAATTAAGACAGGAGTCAAACCTGAGACGGGCTCACAGAACTCGCTGCAGGTGGAACAAATGAAACCCCCTCCCCAGGAGTTACAGGACAGCAGCTTCCCCTGTTAGGAATTAAGTCAGGAGTCGAACCTGAGACGGGTTCACAGACCTCGCTGCAGGTGGCCCATTCTCAGGGAAGGCAGTAGCCACGGCCCCAGCTCAGGTCCTTGCAGGGAGTTTACATCAGTAGCTCCTCACCTTGAGGAGACACGCGGGCCTTCCTCCCGAAGCCCGTTTAGGAGGCAGATGGAGCGACTCGACTCGGAGGACAGGAGGGTGTTCAGGGGCCCTGGCGCCACAGTTCCCACAGGATGACCTTGGAGCGTTCCTGGATTTCGAGCTGCCCTGGCTAAGGAGCCGCACCCCAGTCCTCGCCCGCAGCTCACGGGAAATGAAGTTGTCTGGCCTGAAGACCTGCCCGAAGGGCCCCGAGCGCACAGAGTCCATGGTGCCCGGCTCCAGATCCACGAGCACAGCGCGGGACACGTACCTGCCACCTGCGTGGGGCGGGAGGGCATGAGCGAGGGGAGGGCCGCGTTCCCAGGAGGGCGGTGGGGGAAGGACGGGGGTCGCACCGCTGGCCTCGTGGTGGTGCACGTTGATGCGCTCCAGCTGCAGGTGGCTGTCCCCGTGGTAGGTGCCAGCGGAGTCGATGGCATGTTCATCAGAGATCACCTCCCAGAACTGCGGAGACGGGAGGGGCCAGACAGGCCGGGGCTGAGTCACGGAGGCGCCCCAGCCGCTCTCCCACCCCCATCCGCACCCCCATCCCCAGGCCGCCCTGTCCCTGGGGTCCACCCCCGCCGCCTCGCCAGCCACCCGGTTCCACCGTCCCCGGCAGGGAGCCCAGGGGCCGCAATGCAGGGGCACCGCCCCCGCCGCTGCCAACATCTTCCCCGGCCACCCGGCAGGCCCGGGCTGGGCCCTCAGAGCCCCGGCTGCCAACCTTGGCGCCGATCTGGTTCCCGCACTGCCCGGTCTGCGTGAGCACAAGCTCCCTCGTGGCCAAGGCAGGATTAGGGCGGCAGGAGAAGCGCGAGAAGGAGGAGCAGACGCACAGCGACCCAGCCCGGCCTCCGCCAACGCTTAAACAGCCCCGCGCCCACCTCCCTCAGCCTAGGATTGGGCTCCCAGAATAAGCAACAGCTTTACTTCCACACAGGTGCACCCACCTGTGACTCCCCTGGCGTTGAACGTCTGTTGGAGAACTCAGGTGTCCTTGCGTGGTCCCTTCCACGTTGGGGAAAGCTGCTCAGCTGGAGAACTTCCTCCCACGTCTTTAGTAAGACTAAATCCCTAGCTGAGCTGAAACTGAATTTTCCTCCCATGTGGGAGGGGAAGACGCTTGTTTCCATATGCACGGAGTGCCTTTGCACCTGTCCTAGATTGATGACATATTTTTGTAATTGATGAATCTTTTCATCTATTAGGAGATCTGTCGTTAGGAAAGGCCTTCCACATGTTAACAGGACTTAATTATACGTTTTACTTTGGAGCAGTTCAAATCTGCAGTAAGCTATGGGTGTTAGAGATAGTCAGGCCTCTGATTTAGCTAGAGTCTTCTTTAGGATTAGCCCTTTCACCTTTCCAGAGGACTGCGGTCTCCACACAGAGTGAAGGTAATATTGGATTCTTAAAGCTGAGGATAGGTGTTGGGTTACGCCTGCTGTGAAAGATGGGCCATTGTCACTTTGCAGGCTTTTAGATTACCCAAACTGAGGAGTTATTTCTTCTGGTAAACATTTTTCAGATGGGGTGGGGAATGCCTCGATCTAACCAGTGAAGGTATCAGTAAGCATTAGCAAATATTTGAATCTCTTGCAGAAAGTCATTGGGGTACATTAGAGTTGCCAGTTCTCACCTGGATAGGTTCCTTAATTTTGGACAGGTTTAACTGGAGGAGAAAATTGCTGGCCGTTTGGGTCATGTCAGGCACAGAGCTCACAGTGCTGAGTCACCTGTTTTAGTGTCTTGAAAAGATTTACCCCTATAAACAAGTGAGACATTAACAGAAACAAAGAATCCCTTCTAGGGTGAAAAGAATCATGAAAGTGCTGAGTTATACTCTTGTGATTGGTACTTGGCATTAGTAATTTATTACCATCATTCAGCCAGCCCGAGGGGCCCTGGACTGAAATGCAATCCCTGGCCCATTTCTGTTCTTCTTCAGAGTGTTCCGGCCCAGTTCTATGTATGCTGACCAGCACGCCCATAAGCTTCATTGGCCCTTTCAGTGCAGGGGCCTTGGCTGCAGCTACAAGGTCATTTCCTTTTACATGGTCAGTCTCTCTTTTGATGTCCTCTGCAATTAATTATAGTCACTTTCTGGCAGCAAAGCAGTATTCTAACAAGCTCAAAATCTGAATGATGTTGTATGGAAAAGCCCTTGGGGTCAGGAGTCCCCACCCATTCCAAATTGCAGCATAAGCATGAAGCACTAAAAAATCATACTTGGAATCAGTGTAAATGTTAACTTTTAAATCCTTTCCAACTGCAGGGGCCTAGTAAGTTCAATTAACTCAGCTTTTTGAGCTGAGGTCGAGGCCAGCAAGGCTTGTGCCTTGATTCTCTTGTGCTGACTACTAATAGCATATCTAGACCTCCTGTTTTCCTGATGCATAAAACAACTTGCATCTGTTAACCACTCTGCCTTGGGATGGTCAAGGAGCTCATCTCTCCTACGTCTGGCCTGCTAGATCAATTTGTTTCATAACCTGTGACATGCTTTGGCTGTGCCCCCAGTCAAGTCTTATCTTGAATTGTAGCTCCCATAATTCCCATATATCGTGGGAGGGACCCAGTGGGAGGTAATTGAATCAGGGGATGGGTCTTTCCCATGCTGTTCTCGTGACAGTGAATAAGCCTCATGAGATCTGATAGTTTATTTATTTATTTATTTTTGATACATAGTCTTGCTCTGTTGCTCAGGCTGGAGTGCATTATCGTGATCTTGGCTCACTGCAAACTCTGACTCCTGGGTTCAAGCGATTCTCCTGTCTCAGCTTCCCGAGTAGCTGGGATTACAGGTGCCCACAACCATGCCTGTTTAATTTTTGCACTTTTAGTATAGACAGGGTTTCACCATGTTGGCCAGGCTGGCCTCCATCTCCTCACCTCAGGTCATCCACTGCCTTGGCCTCCCAAAGTGCTGGATTACAGCTGATGGTTTTATAAAGGGGAGTTTCCCTACACAAGCTCTTTTGCCTGCTGCCACGTAAGAGATGTGACTTTGTTCCTCACCTGCCTTCTGCCATGAGTGTGAGGCCTCTCCGACCATGTGGAACTGTGAGTCAATTAAACCTCTTTTCTTTATAAATTTCCCAGCCTCAGATATGTCTTTATTAGCAGCGTGAGAACAGACTAATACAGCCTGTATGCCAGAAAGGCTGGGAGCACCTGTGGACTCTGACAGCTAAGTAGCTGGGTTTGTGGTTTGGCAGGCTTTAAGGGTTGTGTCTGGAGGGTCTAGCAATAAGGCCTGACACTTTCATAAATGTTCTCCTATTATCCACTGCTGCCCTTTAGCTTCCAGGACCACCTTCCCTTGGTGTGGGGTCAAAAACCTGTAGGTGCTGTTCTAATGTTAGTTTATTAGCTTTGCCTGCTAGAAAAGTGGTAGCAGCAATAGCTCTAAGACATCAAGGCCACCCTGAGGCCGCCTGGTCTATCTGCTTAGAAAATTAGGCTACTGGCCTTGGAATGTCCCCCAGTTTTGAGACAAGATTACCCAAGGCCTATGCCTTGCTTTTTGGTCACATAAAGAAAAAATGGTTCATCCAACTTGGGGACTCCCATGGCTGCAGCAGAGCTCAATTTCTCCTTGAGAGTATTGAAGGTTTGCTTGCAGTTCTCATTACGTTCTAGGAGCTCTAAATCTTTCCCTTTAGTGTATCATATAAAGGCTTGGCTACATGTCCAAATCTGGGCAACCATAAGCAGCAGTACCCAGCCATCTCCTAAAAGAGCCCACAGTCATTTGTTGGACTGGGACCCTTCGGTGACTAAAATAACTTTTTTATCTTCTAGGGTTGTTGATCAGTTCCAGTGGTTAAGACAGATTCCAAATATTTAAGTCTTTGAGTCAAAATCTGAGCCCTGTATGGGGATACCGTATATCTGCAACTTCCCAGGAAACTTACCAACTTAACAGTATTATTATTTGAGTCTTCTTTAGTTGGGCTAGCAATGAGCAAGTCACCTACATACTGAATAATTGTGTCCCTTTCCAGTTGTAGATTTCTTAAGTCCTTAGCTAGAGCATTTTCAAATAAGTGGGGGCTATCCCAGAACCCTTCAGAGACGACTGTCCAGGTTAGTTTTGAGGCTGAATGTGTATCTGGATTAGTCCATTCAAAGGCAAACATATTGTGAATCTGGATGCATTGAGATGCAGAAAAATGCGTCTTTCAGATTTAAGAATGTAAACCAGCTTGCATCCCCTGGGACTTGGTAAGTATTGGGGACAATGAGGTGTATGGAGACAACTGCATTTCTTAGCGCTCTAAGGGTTCTGACAAATCTGTACTTGCCATTAGGCTTTTTATCTGGTAACATGCGAGTATTGTAAGGAGACTCTCATGGGCTTCATAACTCATATGGCAAGAATTTGGCAATAAGGGGTTGAATTTCCCCTCATGCTTCTTGCCTTAAAATGTATTGTCTCTTCTGAGGGCGAGGAGCACTAGGCTGAAGTTGGATTTGAATCGGGGAGGTGTTTAGTGCATTTCCCAGAGCCTGTGTGGCCCAAACTTCAAGATTTACTTGAGACAATACCTCAGGTGGTAAATGTGACAGCTCATTCTTAACTTCTTTTTTTTCCCCTGAGGGGTCAGGAACAAAAGTAACACTTTCTATGATTTATGATCTGTGAAGGTGACCATGACTTGGTCTCCTGAGTCAATAAACTTCTCCCCAGTAAGAGATCAGGCATTCAGACCGTACTAAAAAGGTAGGTGAGAAGCCCAGAGGCCCTGGAGGACAACTTAGAAGATACAAAAAGCAGTTATTTTGGGCTTGTCCATCATGAAGAGACAGGAGCCCACTGTATTGAATCAGGACAGAGTCATCTGCTCCCACACCTAATAAGAAGTTAATACTCCTACCTGCCACTACAAGAGTCACCTGAGGCTTCTCCATCTCTGGATACCTAATAGTCCAATGGGAGTGGAGGCAGGAAGTAACAGGCCCTCCCACTTTCAAGTCTGCTGGGCTCTGAGGTTGGCTCCCTTGAAAGCACAGTGCATTTCCTTCAGCAGTGGCTGACCTTCTTACAGAAGGCACATTGATTTATATCCACGACACAGTGGCCCAGAGGCACAGACTGGGACTTTCACCTTCTCACTTCCTCTGTGAGGGCCAGGGTTAACGGGCTGCCTCTGAAGTGGTGGAGAGCACAAGGCTGCAGCTAGAAGCTGGGCCTTTTGGGACATTTGGTTTATTTTATGTTTTCTCTGCCCTATTCCTGTGATGGAAAACTGCAAAATCCAAATCTAAAATCTGATCCATGGGAGTCTGGAAGCCTAAGGCTGCTTTTGGCGGCTTCCTGCAGATATCAGAAGCAGGCTGGGCTATAAAGTAAACTCCTAGCAATGCCTATCCCTTCTTGGAGTAAGGGTCAGTGTTAGTGTATTTTCTCAAGGTCTAAATTATCCACCCTTGTAATAAGGCTAGGTTTTCATCTTTTCCGAGTAATTTTCCAGACTTTATAAAAATTAAAAAGCTTTATCACAATTTTTTTTATTCCTTCAAGGAGTCAAATGATCATAATTTTTTCTCTCTATATCCCACTTTCTTCCTAATTCATTCATCTTTTCTAGATTCTAGTTCTCTTTTGAGTCCTAATCAGGCACTTCTGTGCCTCCCACTTGATAGGTGTCATGTCCCTGGTTGCAGGCTGCCACCCTATTAGCATGTGCTCTACCACTCCCATAACACACTGCTTTTCTTTTTTCTTTTTTTTTTAATTATACTTTAAGTTTTAGGGTACATGTGCACCACGTGCAGGTTAGTTACATATGTATACATGTGCCATGTTGGTGTGCTGCACCCATTAACTCGTCATTTAACATTAGGTATATCTCCTAATGCTATCCCTCCCCCCTCCCCCCACCCCACAACAGGCCCCGGTGTGTGATGTTCCCCTTCCTGTGTCCGTGTGTTCTCACTGTTCAATTCCCACCTATGAGTGAGAACATGCTGTGTTTGGTTTTTTGTCCTTGTAATTGTTTGCTGAGAATGATGGTTTCCAGCTTCATCCATGTCCCTACAAAGAACATCAACTCATCCTTTTTTATGGCTGCATAGTATTCCATGGTATATATGTACCATATTTTCTTAAACCAGTCTATCATTGATGGACACTTGGGTTGGTTTGAAGTCTTTGCTATTGTGAATAGTGCCACAATAAACATACGTGTGCATGTGTCTTTATAGCAGCATGTTTTATAATCCTTTGGGCATATACCCAGTAATAGGATGCCTGGGTCAAATGGTATTTCTAGTTCTAGATCCCTGAGGAATCACCACACTGTCTTCCACAATGGTTGAACTAAATTACACTCCCACCAACAGTGTAAAAGCGTTCCTATTTCTCCACATCCTCTCCAGCACCTGTTGTTTCCTGACTTTTTAATGATTGCCATTCTAACTGGTGTAAGATGGTATCTCATTGTGGTTTTGATTTGCATTTCTCTGATGGCCAGTGATGGTGAGCATTTTTTCATGTGTCTGTTGGCTGCATAAATGTCTTCTTTTGAGAAGTGTCTGTTCATATCCTTTGCCCACTTTTTGATGGGGTTATTTGTTGTTTTCTGGTAAATTTGTTTGAGTTCATTATAGATTCTGGATATTAGCCCTTTGTCAGATGAGTAGGTTGCAAAAATTTTCTCCCACACTGTAGGTTGCCTGTTCACTCTGACAGTAGTTTCTTTTGCTGTGCAGAAGCTCTTTAGTTTAATTAGATCCCATTTGTCAATTTTGGCTTTGCTTGCCATTGCTTTTGGTGTTTTAGACATGAAGTCCTTGCCCATGCCTATGTCCTGAATGGTATTGCCTAGGTTTTCTTCTAGGGTTTTTATGGTTTTAGGTCTAACATTTAAGTCTTTAATCCATCTTGAATTAATTTTTGTGTAAGGTGTAGGGAAGGGATCCAGTTTCAGCTTTCTACATATGTCTGGCCAGTTTTCCCAGCACCATTTATTAAATAGGGAATCTTTTCCCCATTTCTTGTTTTTTGTCAGGTTTGTCAAAGATCAGATAGTTGTAGATATGTGGCGTTATTTCTGAGGGCTCTGTTCTGTTCCATTGGTCTACATCTCTGTTTTGGTATCAGCACCATGCCGTTTTGGTTACTGTAGCCTTATAGTATAGTTTGAAGTCAGGTAGCATGATGCCTCCAGCTTTGTTCTTTTGGCTTAGGATTGACTTGGCGATGCAGGTTCTTTTTTGGTTCCATATGAACTTTAAAGTAGCTTTTTCCAATTTTGTGAAGAAAGTCATCGGTAGCTTGATAGAGATAGCATTGAATCTATAAATTACCTTGGGCAGTATGGCCATTTTCACAATATTGGTTCTTCCTACCCATGAGCATGGAATGTTCTTCCATTTGTTTGTATCCTCTTTTATTTCATTGAGCAGTGGTTTGTAGTTCTCCTTGAAGAGGTCCTTCACATCCCTTTTAAGTTGGATTCCTAGGTATTTTATCAACCAAAGAAAGTCCAGGACCAGATGGATTCACAGCCTAATTCTACCAGAGGTACAAGGAGGAGCTGGTACCATTCCTTCTGAAACTATTCCAATCAATAGAAAAAGAGGGAACCCTCCCTAACTCATTTTATGAGGCCAGCATCATCGTGATACCAAAGCCTGGCAGAGACACAACAAAAAAAGAGAATTTTAGACCAATATCTCTGATGAACATCAATGCAGAAATCCTCAATAAAGTACTGGCAAACCGAATCCAGCACCACATCAAAAAGCTTATCCACCATGATCAAGTGGGCTTCATCCCTGGGATGCAAGGCTGGCTCAACATATGCAAATCAATAAATGTAATCCAGCATATAAACAGAACCAACGACAAAAACCACATGATTATCTCAATAGATGCAGAAAAGGCCTTTGACAAAATTCAACAAACCTTCATGCTAAAAACTCTCAAAAAATTAGGTATTGATGGGACGTATCTCAAAATAATAAGAGCTATCTATGACAAACCCACAGTCAATATCATACTGAATGGGCAAAAACTGGAAGCATTCCCTTTGAAAACCGGCACAAGACAGGGATGCCCTCTCTCACCACTCCTATTCAACATAGTGTTGGAAGTTCTGACCAAGGCATTCAGGAAGGAGAAGGAAATAAAGGATATTCAATCAGGAAAAGAGGAAGTCTAATTTTCCCTGTTTGCAGATGACATGATTGTATATCTAGAAACCCCATCATCTCAGCCCAAAATCTCCTTAAGCTGATAAGCAACTTCAGCAAAGTCTCAGGATACAAAATCAATGTGCAAATATCACAAGCATTCTTATACACCAATAACAGACAAACAGAGAGCCAAATCATGAGTGAACTCCCATTCACAACTGCTTCAAAGAGAATAACACACTGCCTTTCTGCCATGCAGCAGGAAAACATAAACATATGCAAGTCCTGCCTGGCCAGATCGTAAACAAGGTTAGCCTCTTAAATTTGTCTACAAATTTTCAGGCACCTCTGAAAACTGTTTTAGCTTTTCCTTGTATATGGCTAGTTCAGACATAGAAAAGGGTACATATACCTATATAGTGTCCTTTTTATCATCTGTCACTTCCCAGAGAGGGCAAACATTCAAGTTTGCCAGCTGATAAGAGGCCCCACTGCATGTTGTTCTGGTGAAGCTCACGTGTTCCGACAGTGGGGTGTGTACTTAAGACAGGACTCGAAGGGCAGGGAGAAGACGATGACCAGACACTAGATAACCCTGGAAAACTAGAAGAAATTAATAACATGTTGCACACCTCACCAGAACTGGAAGGAGTCTGACTGTGTTCTCATGGGGTTGTCGGACTGGCAGGGGGAGTTCAGCCCCAGCTAAGAAAAGCCTAATATTAAGAGGCACTTGCATTAAAAGGGTAATCAATTACGTGCCATCCCTATTTTGTCTTTTCCTCCATCAAACATATAGAAGCCCATTTTAATTTTTTATCCTGACCAAGCATCAGAGAAGCCTATATGTAAAGTATTTCCTCCCATTTAGTTTCTCTTCTATAAAACAAATTAAGCTGCAAAAAAAGGAGTCAGACTGAACAGGGGAAATGGGAAGGCTGTAACTTGTATATTGTAATGTACTAGTCCATTTTCACACTGCTATGACAAAACTGATAAAACTCTGTCAGGAAAAAAGTGGGATACTGGGTTTAGAAAGTAGGGTCCAGCTGCCCTATACCAGCTCATCAAAGATGGCGTTATGGTTAAGAAATGAGAGAAAACTGTTAAGAAAAAGTCCCATGTTCTCCATCTTGAGGCTAATTGTTTGCAGAGGGTTGTCATAAAAGAGGCTGTCACTAAACAGGTATATCTGATCTTATCATGTAGGGCTGTTAAATACCACATTTCAACTTCTAGTCATAATGATGGAGAGGTTATTGCTGATTTTTTTTCTGATAATTAAGGTACAAAAATACTAGGTTCCAAGACATCTCTCTTTTTTCAGTGTCACTTGGACCAGTGGCAAATTAAACAAGCAATCAGCTAAAAGTCAGAGGATCGCTGAGGAAAGCAAAAGCTAAACTGTTTGGGGCCTCTTTCCTGGGGCAGCCTCCAGGCTACTACAAAACAGAGGAGGTGAGCAGAAAGGTGACAAGATACAGAGCACTCAGGTGAGGGACAGAGAGCACAAGGTGGACAGTCCAAAAAGAGAAAGTGGCAAACATCTTGTTTAGCCAAATCCATTCTTCTCAATATTCCCAAGGGCCTCTAACCCTGTGAGCTTGGCCTCTAATCTGAGTATGATGCCCCCGGGCCTCTAATTTTTGGGGCTGAGTGTCTCACCCTAACATTATGCCCTAGGGCCTCTTGCTTAAGTAGTAGTGGATCATCATTCTTGCCCACCAGAATGGCTTCACGACTCTAAAAGACGGCCCACTTGCCAGGTGTCAGCTGACTGATTCTGTGTGGATTGTTTTCCTTGGAGTGGGGGTCTTGTCTTGGTGTCCCTTCATGGTGTTGCTGAAAGATGTTGCTGGAAAAGAGGGTCCTGATACAGACCACAAAGTAGGATTCTTAGATCTTGTGCAGGAAAAAAATTGAGGTGAGTCAGAGAGCACAGTGAAAGAAGCAAGTTTACTAGAAATGACTCCATTAGAGTTGGACACCCTCAGCAAACAAGAGCAGGAATGCATTGTCTTTTGTTAGTGTCTCTTCTTATAAGTAACTATAAAGACAAAGAGTTATAATTAAACTTGGAAGGTGCAAATGTACTCACTAAAGTCGGGGCTATTGGTTTTAACAATGACCATTAACCCATTGACCTAAGCAAGCTCATTAATATTATCCTTACAAAAAAAATGCTGCACTCCTAGGACATGTATACGTTTTTCAGGCTTGGTGGAATATGTCTTGTATGACCACAAATATTCTCCAGTTATAATTTGTGGCCAGCTAAAAAATGTGGCTATTTTCAGACCATGAGCATTAATCTTCTAGATGCCTTGTGAGTACCTAGCTACTCATATTAAGATAGAGTATTCTAGTCATGTTTACTAAACTAGAAGCTTGTTATTCATGAGTTCCTCTAACACAATAAGTCTACTGCTCAAGGAGAAAATGTATTTCTCAGGAATTCTGTGCATTTTGTTTGATGGAATTTGGTATGTTTACCAAAATGGCAGAAAAGAGTGAAATTAGTCCTCAAAGATTTCTCAAGATTGGATATAAAGTAAGCAAAATGATTATAGGTAATATGCAAGTTGATACAGTTGATATTCAAGAGAAATTTGAAACACAATGACATTTTTATTTTTACTTATTTATTATTATTATTATTTTGAGACAGAGTCTTCTCTGTTGCCCAGGGTGGATTGTAGTGTACCATCCTGGCTCACTGAAACCTCCACCTCCCGGGTTCAAGCAATTCTCCTGCCTCAGCTTCCCAAGTAGCTGCGATTACAGGCATGCATCAACACACCCAGCTAATTTTTGTATCTTTAGTAGAGATGGGATTTCACTCTGTTGGCTGGGCTTGTCTCAAACTCCTGACAACAGGCGATCTGCCCACCTGGGCCTCCCAAATTGCTGGGATTACAGGCATGAGCCACCACTCCCAGCCACAATGAGATTTTTAAATAATTCTAACTGATTTCCTGCTGTTGAGCAGGGAGCTGAGCAAATTCAACAGATCATGGGCCTAAAGTAGGAGAAGACTAAGGACAAACTCTAGAATGCATGTGATTAAATTAATTACAATTGAAACCAAATCAAATTTAATAAGGCTGTACCTCTTAGTTTCAAGATGTTTCCCCTCACTTTGAAATGTGGTGTTATTCAGTGGAAAATAACAGGGTTCCCTGCAGGGATTGATTGACTGAGAGCTATGGCTCAGGATTAAAAATCCTTTTTTCCACTTATAAATGAAAAATAAATTTTGTCATAAAGTAGGCTGTCACTAAACAGGCATATCTGATCTTATCATGTAGGGTTGTTAAATACCACATTTCAACTTCTAGTCATAATGATGGAGAGGTTATTGCTATAAACTAAACTAAAAATAAATAAACTAAAAATAAATTTCTAAGCCCCTATTGACTAAATGGACACCTCTTCTTGGATAAGGACATTCCAAAGTTAACATGAAAAGCTAGTTCAAGCCATGGGTCACACAGGCCTCATTATACTCTCCTCCCTTTGGTTTTAATTTTGATTTCAATTTTTAATTTATTTTTGTGGGTACATAGTTGGTGTATATATTTATGGGGATACATGACATACTTTGATACAGGCATGCAATGAGTAATGCATAATAAAAAAATGGGGTGTCCATCCCCTCAAGCATGTATAGCTTGTGTTATAAACAATCCAATTATACTTTTAGTTTTTTAAAATGTATAGTTAAATTATTTTTGACTATAATCACCCTGTTGTGCTATCAAATGCTGTCTTATTCATTCTTTCTAACAGTTTTTTGTACCCATTTCGCATCCCCACTAACACCCTGTTCCCTCACTGCCCTTCCCAGCCTCTGGTAACCATCCTTATACTCTCTATCTCTATGACACCAATTGTTTCGAATTTTAGCACACACAAATAAGTGAGAACATGTGACATTTGTCTTTCTGTGCCCGACTTATTTCACTTAACATAAAGACTTTCAGTTCCATTTATGTTATTGCAAATGGCAGACTCTCATTCTTTCTTATAGCTGAATAGTACTCCACCGTGTATATGTACCATATTTTCTCTATCCAGTCAGCTGTTGAGGGACATTTAAGTTCCTTCCAAATCTTGGCTATTATAAACCCTGCTGTAGCAAATATGAGAGTGCCAATATGTCTTTGATCTACCAATTTTATTTCTTTTAGGCATATACTGAGCAGTGGGATTGCTAGACCTTTTAGTAGCTCTATTTTTAGTTATATCAGGAACATCCAAACTGTCCTTAATTGTGCTCCCAACAACAGTGTACAAGGGTTCCCTTCACTCCACATACTCACCAGCATTGGTTTTTGACTGACTTCTGGATAAAAGCCACCTTAACTGGGGTGAAATGATATCTCATTTTGGGTTTGATTTGCATTTCTATGATGATCAGTAATGTGTAGCACCTTTTCATTTGCCTGCTTGACATTTGTATGTCTTCTTTTCATAAATGTCTATTTAAATTTTTTGTCCATCCTTTAATTGGATTATTATATTTTTTATAGAAATTTTTGAACTCAATATATTGTAGTGTATTAGTCTGTTTCAGCACTGCTATAAAAAAATACTCAAGACTGGGTTATCTATTTATTTAACGAGATGAAGTCTTGATCTGTTACCCAGGCTGAAGTGCAGTGGTGCAATCTCGGCTCACTGCAAACTCCACCTCCTGGTTCAAGCAATTCTCTGTCTCAGCCTCCTGAGTAGCTGGGATTACAGGCACCTGCCACCATGCCTGGCTAATTTTTGTATTTTTAGTAGAGACAGGGTTTCACCATCTTGGCCAGGCTGGTCTTGAACTCCTGACCTCGTGATCCAACCCCCACTTGGCCTCCCAAAGTGGTGAGATTACAGGCATGAACCACCGCACCTGGCAAGACTGAGTAATTTATAAAGGAAATGGGTTTAATTGACTCACAGTTCCACATGGCTTGGCAGGCTTCAGGAAACTTACAATCATGGCAGATGGGGAAGCAGTCACCTCTTACATGACAGCAGGCGAGACAGCATGTATGTGAAGCAAAGGGGGAAGAGTCCCTTATAAAACCATCAGATCTCATGAGAACTCACTCACTATCAGAAGAACAGCCTGGGGGAAACCACCCCCATGATCCAATCACCTTCTGCCGGGTCTCTCCCCCAAAACCTGGGAATTACAATTCAATATGAGATTTGGGTGGGGACACAAAGCCTAACCATATCATGTAGCTATTAATTGCCTTTCAGATGGATAACTTACAAATATTTTCTCCCATTCTGTGGATTTTCTCTTCACTTTGTTTATTGTTTCCTTCACTTTAAAAAGGCTTTCTGACTTGCTGTAATCCCATTTGCCCGTGTTTGTTTTGGTTGTCTGTGCTTATGGGGCACTATTTAAGAAATTTTTGCCCAAACCAATGCCCTAAAGGGTTTCCCCAATGTTTTATTGTAAAAATGTGATAGTTTGAGATGTTAGGTTTAAGTCTTTAATTCATTTTAATTTGATTTTTTATGTGGCAAGAAATAGGGTTCTAGTTTTATTCTTCTGCCTATGACCTGCCACTTTTCCCAGCCCTATTTATTACAAAAACTGTCTTATTTTTTGTTGTATATTCTTGGCACTTTTGTTGAAAATAAGTTTAGCTTAGCTGTATGAGTTTGTTTCTAAGGTCTCTATTTTGTTCCATTTGGCTTTATGTCTGTTTTTATGCTAGTGTCATGCTGTTTTAATTACTATAACTTAGTAGTATAATTTAAAACCAGGTAATGGAATTCCTCCAGTTTTGTTTTATATACTCAGCACAGCTTTGACTATTATGGTGTTTTGTGACAGTTCCATATAAATTTCAGAATTTTTTTTCTGTTTCTGTGAGGAATGTCTTTTTTTTTTTTTTTTTTTTTTAGATGGCATCTCGCTCTGTCACCTAGACTGGAGTGCAGTGATGCAATCTCGGCTTACTGCAACCTCTGCCTCCTGGGCTCAAGCAATTACCTACCTCAGCCTCCTGAGTAGCTGGGAAGGCACCCGCCACCACGCCCAGCTAATTTTTTTGTATTTTTAGTAGAGATGGGGTTTCACAAATTTGGCCAGGCTGGTCTTGAACTCCTGACCTCATGGTCCACCCACCTCGGCCTCCCAAAGTGCTGGGATTACAGGCATGAGCCACTGCCCCTGGCCTGTTATTTTGATAGAGATGGCATGAAATGTATAGATTTCTTTGGATTGTATGGACATTTTAGAAAAATACTGATTCTTCCAATCTGTGAACATAAAAATATCTTTCCAATTTTTGGGTCCTTTTTCATTTCTTTTATCAGTGTTTTACAGTTTTAATTGTTGAGAACTTTTATTTCTTTGGTAAGTTCCCACACATTGTGTTTTATTTGTGGCTATTGCAAATAGTGTTACATTTTTGAATTCTTTTTCACTTTGTTGACTGTTGGCATATAGCATTCCTACTGATTTGTATATGTTGATTTTGTATTCTGCAAATTTACTCAAGTTATTACTTCTAATAGTTTTTTTGGTGGATGTATTAGGCCATTCTCACATTGCTATAAAAAAAAATCAGTGACCGGTTAATTTGTAAAGGAAATAGATTTAATTGGTTCATGGTTCTACAGGCTGTACAGAAAGCATAGCACTGGCTTCTGCTTCTGGGGAAGCCTCTGGCAACTGACAAGGTGAAAAATAAATCCGATGCTTGCACATCACATGGTAAGTGTGAGGGCAGAGTGTAAGTGCTACACACTTGTAGATAACCAGCTCTCGTGAAAACTTACTATTGTGGGAATGGCACCAAAGGAAATGATGCTGAACTCTTCATGGAAATCCTGCCCTCTTGATTCAATCACCTCCCCACTAGGCCCACTTCCAACATTGAGGATTACATTTCAGTGTAAGATTTTGGTGGGAACACACACCCAAACTATATCATTTTGCCCTGGCCATTCCAAATCTCATATCCTTCTCATATTTCAAAATACAATCATGACTTCCCAATAATTCCCAAAGTCTTAACTCATTTCAGCCTTAACTCAAAAGTCAAAAGTCTCATCTAAGACAAAGCTAGTTTATTCCTCCTATAAGCCTGTAAAATAAAAAAACAAGTTAGGTACTTCCAAGATACAAATGGGGCAGAGGCATTGGGTAAATACTCCTATTCTAAAAGGAAGAAATCAGCCAAAAGAAAGGGGCCACAGGACCCACGAAAGTCTGAAACCCAGAAGGGCAGTTATTGAATTATAAGGCTCTAAAATAATTATTTTTGACTCTGTGTCCCATTTCCAGGGCACACTAATGCCTTGGGAAGGTTCAACCTTGTGACTTTGCATGGTTCCGCCCCCATAGCTGCTCTCATGGGCTGGCATTGTGTACCTCTGGCTGGTATTGTGTGTCTCTGGCTTTTCCAGGTGCAAGGTGCAAGCTGTAGCTAGATCTACCATTATGCGGTCTGGAGGACAGTGACCTTCTCCTCACAGATCTACTAGGCCATGCCCCAGTGGGGAGCCTGCATGGGGACTGTCACCCCACATTTCTTTTCTCCATTGTTTTAGTAGAGGTTCTCCATGAATGCTCCACCCCTGCAGCATGCTTCTGTCTGCACACCCTGGCTTGTTCACACATCCTTTGAAACAAAGGTGGAAGATCCCAAGTCTCAACTCTTGCATTTTGTAAACCCACAGGCCTAACACCACATGGAAGCTACCAAGGCTTATGGCTTGCACCCTCTGAAGCAGTGACTGGAGTTGTAACTGGATCAATTTGACCTACACCTGGAGCTGAAGCAATGGTCAGGATGCAGGGAGCCATGTTCCAAAGCTACCCAAGGCAGCAGATCCTGGGCCTGATCCCAGAAACTATTCTCTTCTTTTAGGCCTCAAGGCCTGTGATTGGGGGCTGCCTTTCAGATTTCTAAAATGCCTTCAAGTCCTCTTTCCCATTGTCTTGGCTATCAACACTTGCTTTTTTTTTAGGTTACACAAATACCTCTAACAAGTCGTTGCTCCATAGCGTGCTTGAGTTCCTCTCTTATAAAATCTTTTTATGTTTTAGGCACAGGACTAGCCTGCAAAGTTTTCAAGCTTTTACACTATGCTTCCCTTGTAAGTATAAGTTACAACTTATATATTTTTTTTGCTAGATCATGTGAGCATAGGTTGTTAGAAGCAGCCAGGCAACATCTCAAATGCTTTGCTGCTTAGACATTTTTCCAACAGAAAACTTAAATCATCAATTTCAAAATCAAAGTTTTATATATCCCTAGGGCATGACAGAAATTCAGCCAGCCACTTTGCTAAGACAACATGCATGACTTTTGTTTCGGTCCTAATAAGTTTCTAATTTTATCTGAGACCTCCTCAGCTTGGCCTTCACTGTCCAGATCACTAACAGCATTTTGGTCACAGCCATTCAACCAGTCTCTAAGAAAATCTCAACTTTCCCTTATTTTTCTGTCTTCCTCTGAATCCTATAAACTCTTCCAACCTCTGCCTGTTTATCCAACTACAAAGCTAATTTCACATTTTCAGGTATTCTTATAACAATTTCTCACTCCTTGGTGCCAATTTTCTGTATTAAGCTATTTTTGCATCACTATAAGAGTGGGACTGGATAATTTATTTTTAAAAAAGGAGGTTTAAGTGGCTCATGGTTCTACAGGCTGTAGAGAAGACATAGCACTGGCATATGCTTCTGGGGTGGCCTGTAGAAGTTTACAGTCATGGCAGAAGTTGAAGCAGAATCTTGCACATCAAAGGGCAAAAAGCTGGAGCAAAAAACAGAGGGGCGAGTTGTTACACACTTTTAAATAACCAGATCTTGTAGGAAC
This sequence comes from Homo sapiens, assembly GCF_000001405.40. Classification (NCBI taxonomy): domain Eukaryota; kingdom Metazoa; phylum Chordata; class Mammalia; order Primates; family Hominidae; genus Homo; species Homo sapiens. Next base: position 94,003 of record NW_015495300.1, read on the forward strand.
TCACTCACTATTATGAGGATAGTACCAAGTGGGACGGTGCTGAGCCATTTCTGAGTAATCCACCCCAATGGTTAAATCACCTGGCCCACCTCCAACATGGAGAATTACATTTAAATATGAGATTTGGGAGGGGACACACGTTCAAACCCTATCAGAGGAGTCTTTATGTTTTTTCAAATATAAGACTATGTCATTGGCAAAAAAAGATAATTTGACTTCTTTTCCAACTGGGGTGCCTTTTATTGCTTTCTCTTGTCTGATTGCTCCAGATAGGACTTTCAGAATTATGTTGAATAACAGTGGTAAAAGTGGACATTCTTGTCATCTTCCAGATTTTAGAGGAAAGGCTTTTAGTTTTTCCCCACTTAGTATGATACTAGCTGTGGGTCTGTCATATATGACTTTTATTATGTTGAGGTATGTTCATTCCATACCGAGTTTTCAAAGAGTTTTTTATAATTAAAGAATATTAAGTTTTATCAAATAATTTTTTAGCATAATTGAAATGATTATATGGATTTTGTCCTTTTATTTATTTATTTTTTTTTGAGATGAAGTCTCCCTCTGTCACCCAGGCTGGAGTGCATTGGTGTGATCTCAGCTCACTGCAACCTCTGCCTCCTGGGTTCAAGTGATTTTCCTTCTTTAGCCTCCCGAGTAGCTGGGATTACAGGCACCCACCACCGTGCCTGCTTAATTTTTGTATTTTTAGTAGAGACGGGGTTTTGCCATGTTGGCCAGACTGGTTTCAAACTCCTAAACCCAGGTGATCTGCCAGCCTCAGCTTCCCAAAGTGCTGGGATTACAGGCATGAGCCACTGTGCCTGACCCCTTCATTCTGTTTATGTGATGTATCACATTGATTAATTTGAATGTTGAACCATCTTTGCATCCCTGGGATAAATCCCACTTGGTCATTATGACTTACCTATTTATGTATTGTTTAATTGAGTTTGCTAGGTGTTTTGCAAATTTTTGCACCAATATTCTCAGATATGGGCCTGTAGTTTGCCTTTTTAATGTGTCTTTGTCTGGTTTTGATATCAGGGTAATACTAGCCTCAAAGAATGAGTTTGGAAATGTTCTTTCCTTCTCTATTTTTCAGTCTGGTCCTACTGACTTTTTTATTAAGGCTTTAATTTTGTTAATTGTTATTGGTCTGTTCAGGTTTTAGGTTTTTTCCTAGTTCAATCTGGGTAAGCTGTGTGTATCTAAGAATTAATTTCCTCTAGGTTTTCTAATTTGTTGGCATACAATTGCTGATAGTAGCCACTAATGACCTTTTGATTTTCTGAAGCGTTACTTGTAATGTCTCCTTTTTCACCTCTGATTTTACTAATTTCTATCTTCTCTGTTTTTTAGTTAGCCTGTCTAAATATTTGTCAACTGTTTTACTTTTCAAAAAATCAACTTTTTGTTTCATTAATCTTTTGCATTGTTTTCTTCATTTTATCTTTATTTACTTCCACTGTAATCTTTATTATTTCTTTCCTTCTAATTTTGGGTTTGGTTTGGCCTTTTCATTCTAGTTAATTAAGATGTATTGTTAGGTTATTTATTTGAAGCTTTTCTGTTTTTTATGTAGGCACTTACAGTTATAAATTTTCCTTTTATAATAGTACCTCTTTTACTATATTCCATAGGTTTTGCTATGCTATGTTTCCATTATCATTTGTTTCAAGAAATTTTTCTGTGTTCTTCTTAACTTTTTTATCGACCTACTAATCATTCAGGATCATATTGTTTAATGTCCACGTGTGTGTATAGTTTCTGAAATTCCTTTTTAAATTGATTTCTAGTTTTATTCCCTGTCGTCAGAGAAAATGCTTGATATTACTTCAATTTTTTGGAATGTTTTTAGACTTGTTACTTAACATATGGTCTATCCTTGAGAATAACCCATGTGCTGAGGAGAAGAATGTTTATTCTGCAGCTGTTGCATGAAATTTTCTGTAAATATCTATTAGGTTCATTTGTTCTATAGTGCAGATTGTCTGATGTTTCTTTGTTGATTTTCTGTCTGCAAGGTCTATCCAATGCCTAAAGTGGGGTATTGAAGTGTCCAGCCATTATTGTATTGAGGTCTCTTTCTTTAGCTCTTATAATATTTGCTTCATTTATCTAGGTGCTTTAGTGTTGAGTGCATATATATTTTCAATTATTATATCCTCTTGATGAATTGATCTGTTTATTATTATATAATGACCTTTTTAATCTCTTTCTACAGTCTTCTGTTGAAATCTATTTTTGTCTGGTATAAGTATAGCTATTTCTGCAAAGAACTCAAACAAATTTACAAGAAAAAAACAAACAACCCCAGTGGGTGAAGGATATGAACAGACACTTCTCAAAAGAAGACATTTATGCAGCCAAAAAACACATGAAAAAATGCTCATCATCACTGACCATCAGAGAAATGCAAATCAAAACCACAATGAGATACCATCTCACACCAGTTAGAATGGTGATCATTAAAAAGTCAGGAAACAACAGGTGCTGGAGAGGATGTGGAGAAATAGGAACACTTTTACATTGTTGGTGGGACTGTAAACTAGTTCAACCACTGTGGAAGACAGTGTGGCGATTCCTCAAGGATCTAGAACTAGAAATAGCATTTGACCCAGCCATCCCATTACTGGGTATATATCCAAAGGATTATAAATCATGCTGCTATAAAAAAATGGAGGCTTTCTAAATAGATCTTCATTAATGTTGAGGTTTTAAGTCTTGGTCTCAGCCAAAAGGAATTCCTCGCATACCCAGGAGGGATGAAACACTTGCATTGTCGCGTTAGATATTCTTAGAGAGAAAGAGGACCATGCGTAATGGAAAATTGCTAACTTTGCCTCAGGGAGACCAGGTTGATTCACTGAGAAAGTTTGAATTGGTTTAGAAAGCATAGTTCTGAGTTTTCTAGGAGAAGGAGAAAAGTTAGGGTAGGGCATAAGAAATAATGCCCACATCAAAAAGTTAGAAAGATCTCAAATTAACAACCTAACATCACAACTGAAAGAATTAGAGAAGCAAGAAGAATTCAACCACAAAGTTTATAGAAGACAAGAAATAACTAAAATCAGAGCAGAACTGAAAGAAATAGAGACATGAAAAACTATTCAAAAAATCACTTAATCAAAGTTTTTTGAAAAAATTAATAAGATAGATAGGGTACTAGCTAGATGAATAAAGAAGAAAAGAGAGAAGATTCAAATAAAATTAGAAATGATGAAGGGAATGTTACCACTGACCCCAGAGAAATAAAAATAACAACCAGCAACTACTATGAACACATCTACACACACAAACTAGAAACCCTAGAAAAGATGGATAAATTCCTGGCCACATACACCATCTCAAGGCTGAACCAGGAAGAAACTGAGTCCCTGAACAGACCAATAATGAGCTCCAAAAATTCAATCAGTAGTAAATAGCCTACCAAGCAAAAAAAAAAAAAAAAAAAAAAAAAAAAGCCCAGGACCTGATAGATTAATAGTAAAATTTTAACAGATATACGAAGAAGAGCCAGTACCATTCCTACTAAAACTATTTCAAGAAATAGAGGAGGAGGGACTCTTCCCCAACTTGTTCTACAAGGCCAGCATCATCCTGATACCAAAGCCTGGCAGTGACACAACAAAAAAAGAAAGCTTCAGGCCAGTATCCTTGATGAACATCCATTCAATAATCCACAACAAAATCCTTGCAAACCGAATCCAGCAACACATCAAAAGTCTAATTCACCACAGAGGAGTAGGATTCTTCCCTAGAATGGAAGGTTGGTCCATCATGGGCAAATCAATAAAATGTGATTTATAACATAAATAAAACTAAAGACAAGAACCACATAATTGTCTCAATAGACGCAGAAAAGCCTTCAGTAAAATTCAGCAATGCTTCATGTTAAAAAGTCTCAATAAATGAGATATTGAAGGAACATACCTCAAAATAATAAAGGCCACCTATGACAAACTCACAGCCAGCATTATACTAAATGGGCAAAGTCTGGAAGCATTCTCCTTGAAAACTGGCACAAGACAAAGATGCCCTCTCTCACCACTCCTATTCAACACAGTATTAGAAGTCCTTGCTGGAGCAATCAGACAAGAGAAAGAAATAAAGTGTATTTAAATAGAAAGAGAAGTCCAACTACCTCTGTTTGCAGACAACATAATTCTCTATCTGAACCCTATAGTTGTGACCCAAAAGCTCCTTAAGCTGATACAACTTCCACACAGTTTCAGGATACAAAATCAATGTACAAAATTTGCTAACATTCCTATACACCAAGAAGAGCCAAACTAAGAGCCAAATCAGAGAGGCAATTTTATTCACAATTTCCACAAAAAGAATAAAATACATAGGAATACAGCTAACCAGGGTGGTGAAAAATCTCTATAATGAAAATTACAAAACACTGCTCAAAGAAGTCAGAAAAAACACAAACAAATGAAAAATCATTCCATGTTAATGGAGAGAAAGAAGTAATATCATTTAAATGGTTGTACTGCCCAAAGCTATATTAAACTACCAATGACAGGCTTCACGGAAGTAGAAAAAGCTATTTAAAAATTCGCACAGAACCAAGAAAGAACCTAAGTAGCCAAGGCAATCTGCAAAGCTTGAGGCATCACATTACTTGACTTCAAACTATACTACAGCACTACAGTAACCAAAACAGCACGGTACTGGTATAAAAACAGACACATACACCAATGGAACAGAATAGAGAGCCCAGAAATAAGACCACAGACCTACAATTATCTAATCTTTGACAAAGCTGGCAAAAACAAGCAATGGGGAAAAGATTCCCTATTCAATAAATGGTGCTGGAATAACTTGCTAGCCATATGCAGAAGATTGAAGTTGGTCTTCTTCCTTATACCACACACAAAAATCAACCCAAGATGGATTAAATACTTAAATGTAAAACCCAAAACTATAAAAGCCCTGGAAGACAACCTAGGCAATACCATCCTGGACATAGAAACAGGCAAAGATTTCATGATAAAGACACCAAAAACAATTACAACAAATGCAACTATTGACAAGTGGGATCTAATTAAACTTAAAAGCTTCTGCTCAGCAAAAGAAATTATCAATAGAGTGAACAGACAACCTATAAAAGGAGAAAAAGTATTTACAAACTATGTCTCTGACAAGGATCTAATATTCAATATAAGGAACTTAAATTTACAAGAGAAAAACAACCCTATTAAAAAGTGTCCAAAGAATTGTCTATGCATGTCCTTAGCCTACTTTTTGATGGGATTGTTTGTTTTTTTCTTGCTAATTTGTTTGAGCTCATTGTATATTCTGGATATTAGTTCTTTGTCAGATATACAGATTGTGAAGATTTTCTCCCATTCTGTGGATTGTCTGTTTACTCTGCTGACTGTTCCTTTTGCCGTGAAAAAGCTCTTTAGTTTAATTAAATCCCACCTATTTATCTTTGTTTTTCTTGCATTTGCTTTTGGGTTCTTGGTCATGAAATCTTTGCCTAAGCCAATGTCTAGAAGGGTTTTTTTGATGTCATCATCTAGAATTTTTATACTTTCAGGTCCTAGATTTAAGTTCTTGATCCATCTTGAGTTGATTTTTGTATAAGGTGAGAGATAAAGATCCAATTTCATTCTCCTACTTGTGGCTTGCCAATTATCCCAGTACCATTTGTTGGGTAGGGTGTTCTTTCCCCACTTTGTTTTTGTTTGCTTTGTCAAAGATCAGTTGGCTGTAAATATTTGGGTTAATTTCTGGGTTCTTCATTATGTTCTATTTGTCTATGTGCCTGTTTTTATACAAGAACCATGCTGTTTTGGTGACTATGGTCTTATGATATAGTTTGAAATCAGGTAATGTGATGCCTTCTGATTTGTTCTGTTTGTTTAATATTGCTTTGGCTATGCGGGCTCCTTTTTGGTTCCATATGAATTTTAGGATTGTTTTTTCTAGTTCTGTGAAGAATGATGATGGTATTTTGATGGCAATTGCATTGAATTTGTAGATTGCTTTTGGCACTACGGTCATAGACAATTCTCAGAAGATATACAAATGGCCAACAAACATATGAAAAAATGCTCAACATAACTAATGATCAGGGAAATGCAAATTACAACCACAATGCAATGCCACCCTACTCCCACAAGAATGGTCATAATAAAAAAATAGTAGATGTTGGTGTGAATGTGGTGAAAAGGGAACGCTTCTGCACTGCTGGTGGGAATGCAAGTTAGTACAATCACTATGGACAATAGTGTGGCGATTCCTTAAAGAACTAAAAGTAGAAGTACCATTTGATCCACCAATCCCACTACTGGCTATGTACCCAGAGGAAAAAAAAGTCATTATAAGAAAAAAGATACTTGCACACACATATTTATGGCAGCACAATTTGCAATTGCAAAAATGTAGAACCAATCCAAGTGCCCATCAATCAACGAGTGGATGAAGAAACTGTGGTACATACGTACGATGGAATACCACTCAGCCACAAAAAGGAATGAATTAATGGCAGTTGCAGCAACCTGGATGGGATTGAAGACTATTATTCTAAGTGAAGTAACTCAGGAATGGAAAACCAAACATCATATATTCTCACTTATAATTGGGAGCTAAGCTATAAGGATGCAAAAGCATAAGAATGACACAATGGACTTTGGGGACTCGGAGAAAGGGGAGAAGGTGGTGAGGGATAAAAGGCTACAGATTGGGTTCAGTGTATACAGATGAGGTGATGGATGCACCAAAATCTTACAAATCAATCAATAACTTACCAATGTAACCAAATGCCCCCTGTTGTCCTAAAACCTATGGAAATAAAAAAGTGTTTAAAAAGTGGGCAAAGGACATGAACGCTTTTCAAAAGAATATATACATGTGACCAACAACCATAGAATACAAAGCTCAATATCACTGATCATTAGAGAAATGCAAATCAAAGGCACAGTGAGACACCATCTCACACCAGTCAGGATGGCTACTATGAAAAAGTCAAAAAATAACAGATGCTGGCAAGGTTGTGGAGAAAGAGAAGACATACACTGTTGGTGGGAGTGTACATTGGTCCCACCATTGTGGAAAGCACAACAGTGCTTTCCTCGAAAGAGATAAAAGCAGAACTATCACTTGACCCAGCAATCTCACTACTGGGTATATACCCAGAGGTATATAAATTGTTCTGTCATAAGGACACAAGCACGTAAATGTTTGTTGCAGCACTATTCACAATAGTAAAGACATGGAATCAACCTAAATGCCCAACGATGACAGATTGGATGCAGATAATATGGCACACTGTGGAGGAAAAGTTAAATATTAAATTTGAACTCAATTGAACATGGACACAAACAATGGTCACTAAGTCCTGGAATGAGTTGTGTGAGCCCCTTGAGGCATCCATCCAGTGCTGCTTCGGAGAAACAGTTATTGAAAAACAACAGTTATTGAAAAACAGTTATTGAAAAACAACAGGCAATTGCAAAAACAAATTGACCTTTTTGTGTTCCTTGAGCTCAGTTGCAAAGGGCCCTCATGACTGGGCCTCATGACAAACAACTTGTTACAAAAAGAGCTCGGTTTCCAGATCGCACCGAAGCTTCCTGGGACCTCTCCTCATCTGTGCACGGACTAGTGGCCAATTCTGAATCCCAGGCTGTTGTTTCCCAGTCTGGTGATGAATCCTCCACAGTCTGGTGAGTGTAAATGTATATAAATGTATGTATATACTTTTTCCCTTCTCCCCTTCCCATTAAAATTTGTTTGTTGTATCATTTGCTTATTATATCTATATTGCCATATACTCGGGGTAAAGTCTGTTTACCTTTAAAAGTATTGTGTGTTTCTTTTCTTTCCTCACACGTTTCCCACACAGAACACACATATGCACCATGGAATACTATGCAGCTACGTGTTCTCACTTGTAAATGGGAGCTAAATAATGAGAACTTATGAACACAAGGGAACAACAGACAACAGACACTGGGGGTCTACCTGAGCGGGGAAGGTGGGAGAAGGGAGAGGAACAGAAAAGATAACTGTGGGGTACTGGGCTTAATACTTGTGTTATGAAATAATCTGTATAACAAGCCCCTGTGTTATGAGTTTATCTATGTAACAAACCTTCACATGTACCCCCAAACCTAAAATAAAACATTTTTTAAATCCTTTATGAAAGCTGTAAGATCTGCTCCTGTGTGTTTGTATGTCTATATGTGTTACATGTATGTAATAATATTTTGTAAATAAAGCTCATTCTTAAATCGTTAAATAGAAATGGCTTTACAATTATCCATTAAAAATAATTAGATACTTGCTTGATTTAACTGTGAGCTTACGTCTTTTGTTGAGAGTTTCTTGATTCATGGGTCTTGATAGGTGAACATGAAGAAGTATGGAGACACATTCTCAGTGCCTAGACCAGCAGCTACAAGCCAGAATCAAGCCCAATCGGCCCCTTCTTTCTATGCTTTCCCTGTTTTGCCTCCTGGCTATTTTAGGCGGGGTTGGATCCTCCAGTTATAGCCTTCACAGTTCTGTCTTTAGTCCTAATGGACTCAGGCAGGCCCTGATCTTCATAGTTCTCCTGGGTGCCATGTGGCTACTTGGAACCGAGGATTACTGAGGGAAGACATTACGGATGCCACCTGTGTCATAGTTTCAAAATTCTGTTCATTAATTTAAAATCTTAAAATCACATTAAATTAAGTAATACATAACCATAAAATATCTTGAGTCATTTGTAAGCTAAAATATTGAAATACTAACCATTAAAAATTAGTTTAGGTCTATATACCATGACACGTTACTTGTATATGGTATACAAAACCTAAATAGCTTTAGTTCTGTTAATAAACAGTAATTTGAAGAATTATATTTCTTAAAAGTTATAAAATGGTTTTTATCTAAAAATACTGATACAAGACAGTTGAAAATCACTTTTTAGGGTTTTCACTGAAAATTGGGGCTCCTAAGACTTAATTACTAGACATGAGAGAAACAATTCTGCATACAGAGTGTATAAAAAGCAAGATACGCTTTTTTTTTCTTTTTTTGAGAACGAGTCTTGCTCTGTTGCCCAGGCTGGCATGCAGTGGCATGATCTCAGCTCACTGCAACCTCTGCCTCCCCGGTTCGAGTGATTCACCTGCCTCAGCCTCCCAACTAGCTGGGATTACAGGTGCTCGCAACCACACCCGGCTAATTTTTGTATTTTTAGTAGAGATGGAGTTTCAACATGTTGGCCAGGCTGATCTCGAACCCCTGACCTCAAGTGATGCACCTGCCTCGGCCTCCCAAAGTGCTGGGATTACAGGCTTGTGAACATACGCTTTTGATGATAAAACTTATAAAGACATAAAAATGTGTTTTAATTTTTTTTTGGTTTGAAGTTACTTAAAGATTTCAAATTGAAGAAGTAAAAAAAAACTAGATAAAACTAGATAAATATAGAAAGTTGGGGGAAAATGCAAAGCATACGTTCACAAAAATCTGGGATTAAAAGATGACAACATTTGATAAATTTATTTATAAAGTTTTATTAAATTAACTTTAGAGGCTGGGCATGGTGGCTCACGCCTGTAAATAATAAAATTATCTTGCCAATTATGTCTAACTATGATAGTTTAAAGTCATTTCCACTGTAAATTGCTTAATTCTGAGGCAGTTTGTGAAAACTTTACAAGCTTGCAAAATCCTGGAATATTGTTTCTTTAAGGAGGTTCATGAAAGGATGGAGAAGGCCCTGAGAAGTACTCTTGAATATAGGTTTTTGAGAACTTTAGAATTATATTATTTGAACTGGGTAAGAATTTCCAGAACTTTAATGAAGAGACTGACTGGTTAATAAAATTGCTAACCCAAGCAGAATAAAAATCAATTGAATACCAAGAAAATACTTTGCCAGATTTTCATGCCAAATCAGCTAGTACTTAAATTGTCTAGATAAAGAATTTGAATGAACTGCATAGTCCAAGTCAAATTATCTATGATAATCCCTGATTAGTCAGTGCTATGCACCTAAGTTGAAGAAACAGTCCAATGTTAAGCATGGAGAACCAGAATGTCTTCCTTGTCCTTCCTGAGTTCTGAAAGCTTTTCTTATTAAAAGTTCTGCATTCTGATTCTTGGGTGTGAGAGGAAAGCAAGATGGCAGAAAGAAGGCTCCACTGATTGTCCCTCCTGCAAGGACACCAGATGAATAACTATTAATATCCACATAGAAAATACATTCATAAGAACCAAAAATCAGGTGAGTACTCAAAGTATCTGGTTTTAACCTCAGATCACTGAAAGAGGCACTGAAGAGACAGAAAAAACAGTCCTGAAATCACCATTTCCTTATCCCCAGCAGTGATGGCATGGTGCAGACAACAACTCTGGGTTCTGCAGGAGGGAGAACACAGCAATTGTGACGCACTGCACTCAGTGCTGTCCTGTTAGAGCAGAAAGGAAAACCAGACCAAATGCAGTTAATGCCCATCCACAGAGGGATCAATTAAACCAGCCCTAGCTAGAGGGGAATCAGATTCCAGTGGTTGGAACTTCAGTGTTTGGAAACCTGGCAACTAAGGGCTCCCGCACTGTGTGTCTAAGAAAACTTGAAAGGCAGCCTAGGCCATCAGGACTGCAACTCTTAGGTGAGGCCTAGGGCTGAACCGGGCCCAGGGACAGTGGACTGGGGTGGGGAGGGCATGCAACACACTGAGACACCAGCTGGGGCAGCCAAAGGAGTTCTGGCATTATCACTCCCTTAACACCAGACTGCACAGCTCATGGCTCCAAAAGGGACACCATCCTTCTGCTTGAGGAGAGGAGGGAAAAGAGTAGGGAGTACTTTGTCTTTCATCCTGGACACCAGCTCAGTCACAGCAAGATAGTGCACTGGTCAGAATCCTGAGGCCTCCTTTCCAGTCTCTGGCTCCTAGACATTCCTAGACACATCCTGGGCCAGAAGGAAACCTGCTGCCTTGAAGAAAAGAACCATGTGCTGGCAGGATTTATCGCCTGCAAACTTGAAAACCTTTGGGCTCTGAATAACCAGCAGCCATACCCAGTACTACATCAAGGGCCTTGGATGACCCTCATAGACTTGCTAGATTTAGGTGAACTCAGCACATTACCAGCTGTGGTAGCTAAAAGGCAAAACTCCTTCTTCTTGGGAAAAGTAGAGGGAAAATTAAAGGGGACTTTGTCTTGCCCCTTAGGTACCAGCAAGGCCAGAGGTGGGTAGAGCACCAAGCAAAATTTCATAATCCCTGATTCTAGGATTTGATTCTTGGCTGGCATTTATGAAGCTGCCCAGGGCCAGTAGGGAGCCCATTGCCCTGAAAACGGCAAGTCCCAGGCCAGGCAGCATTCATCGCAAGTTGACAAGAGGTTTTGGGCCTTAAGGGAACATTGGTGGTAGCCTGGCAGTACTCATTGTGGCCTGAGGTGGTGGTGGCTACTCTGTCTTTAGGAAAGGAAGGGAGGAATGGGAAGGACTATGTCTTGTGGTTTGAGTGTCAGGTCAGCTGCAATGCAATAGAATGTCAGGTGGACTTCTAAAACTTTTGACTCTACTCCCTGACTTCTGAATGGCACTTCTCGACCCAGCCAGGGACTGAGGGCACTCACTGCCCTAAAGGAAAGAACACAGGCCTGGCTGGCTTTGCCACCTGCTAATTGTAGAGACCAAAGGCCTTGAGTGAACATAGGCAGTCATCAGAAAGTGCATGCAGCAGGACTTGAGCAAGACCCAGTGCTGTGCTAGCTTCAGGTCTGATCCAGGGCAGTCATAGTGGTGGTGGCCAGGGATGCTTGTGTCTTTCTTCTCCCAGCTTTAGGTGGCTTAGAACAGAGAGAAAGACTCTGTATCTTTGAGAGAAAATAATGGTAGAGAACAAGAGTCTCTGGCTAGTAATCTAGAAAATTCTCCTGGATCTTGTTGAAGGCTGTCAAGGTGGTACTTCTCTGAGTCTGGAAGAATTACAGCATTATTGGGTACAAGGTACCCATAAAGCAGATATGGCTTAGATCACAACACCCAAGTCTTTTAAAATATGTGAAAAGTCTTCCCAAGAAAGACAGCTACAAATAAGCCCAGACAGTGAAGACTACAATAAATACTCACCTTTTCTCTTTTTTAATTTTATTTTTTAAACCTCTCATATGGTGCTGCATGCCCAAGAATTTAATGTCCAGACACTGAATAACATCTACTAGCATCAACACCATCCAGGAAAACATGACCTCACCAAGTGAACTAAATAAGGCACCGGGGACAAATCCTGGAGAAAAAGAGATATGTGACCTTTCAGACAGAGAATTCAACATAGCTGTATTAAAAAAAAACTGAAAGAAATTTAAGATAACAAAATAAAGAAATTCCAAATTTTGTCAGCTAAACTCAACAAAGAGATTGAAAAATTTACAACAAATTAAGCAGAAATTCTGGAGCTGAAAAATGCAATTGGCATGCTGAAGAATGCATTAGAGCCATTTAATAGCAGAATGGATCAAGCAGAAGAAATAGTGAGCTTGAAGACAGGCTATTTGAAAATACGTAGTCAGAAGAGACAAAAGAAAAAGAATAAAAACAACAAATCATGCCTACAGGATCTAGAAAAATAGCCTCACAAAGACAGATCTAAGAGTTATTGGTTTTAAAGAAGATGTAGAGAAAGAGGCAGGGGTAGAAAAATTTATTCAAAGGGATAATAACAGAAAACTTTCCAAACCTAGAGAAAGATATCCATATCCAACTACAAAAATGTTATAGGACATTAAGCAGATTTAACCCAAAAAAAGACTACTTCAAAGCATTCAATAGATCTTCCAAAAGTCAAAGATAAAGAAAAGTTCTAAAGGAAGAAAGAGAAGAGAAACAAAGAACATAACAGTGAGCTCCAACACCTCTGGCAGCAGACTTTACGGTGGAAACCCTACCGGCCAGGAGAGAGAAGCAATAAATATTTAAAGTACTAAAGGAAAAAAAACCTTTTACCTTAGAATAGCATATACAGTGAAAATATTCTTCAAATAAAAAGAAGAAATACTGACTTTTCCAGACAAAAGCTGAAGTATTTTATGAATACCATGTCTGTCCTAAAGGAATGCTAAAGAGAGTACTTCAATCAGGAAGAAAAGGACATTAATGAGCAATAAATGATCACCTAAAGGTAAAAAAAATCCTCAGTGCTAATAGGATACAAAACAAAACAGAATATTATAACGCTGTAGCTGTGGGATGTGCAAACTACTCTTATTCAAAGTAGGAATACTAAATAATATCCAATCAAAAGTAATAGCTACAACATTTCCAGACATAGCACAATAAAATATAAATAGAAACAACAAAAAGTTAAAAAGTGAAGGGATGAGCACACCCGTCCTGAGCCGGCCGATGTGGTGGAAGCTCGGAGCTCGGGAGCCGGGGACGCCCTGGAGCGTGGGCGGAAGGGAGGCCGCCCCGAGAGCCGGAAGCCTGGGCAGGGCACGGAGGCCTAGGACGCCCCCCAGCAACAGCAGGGCGGCGCCACATTGGTCCTGCGCGAGGCCTGGCCGCCGGCGACGGCGGGACGCTCTGGGAGGCCGGCGGTGCTCGGGCGTAGAGGGAGACAGCTGCCCGGGGGCACGGACGAGCGGCTCTGGGGGTCCCGGATCCGAGCCCCGCTGCCCCGGGGTGGCGGTGACGCCTGGAGCGGGGCGGACGTGGCTGGGCCGGGCTGTCGGGGCGGGCAGGCGCCGCTGCCGGTGTCTAGGCCACACCACCCTGAGCGCGCCCCAGCTCCTCTGAGCTCGTGAAGCTAAGCAGGGTCCGGCCTGGTTAGTACTTGGATGGATTCCGCCTGGGAATAGCCGGTACCGTAGGCTTTTGGCTTCCCGCTCCCTCCCTCTTTCCCCGTTTTGTCTCCGTGCTTCCCAACCGCCCCCTCCCTCCACCCTGTCCGCCCCTGCGCCCCAGCCGAAGCCCAGGACCTCCCCCTGAAGATCCGCCACTGCAGCACCGCCAGGCAGCAGCATCCCACCTTTTCCGACTCGCCGCAGCCCCACCAGGAGCCGGGCTCCAACCCAGGCGGACTGGACCGACCCCGAGGGCGCAGGCGCGGGTTCCCTGAGGTCCCGGGTGTCTTTCACGCTCCCCGGAAGCCCAGGCAATTCATTCATCCAGCGCCGCTGCGACGGTCCAAGCCGGGGGAAGGGGCGGGCAGGGGCATCGGGTCCCACAGACGCCAGCCGAGACCTCCGCTCCGGAACCCGTGGGCTGCTTTACCCGGGGGAAGGACATTGCCCTCGCCAGCCGTGAGGAAATCCGTCCCTGTGCACTTTGCCACCGACTTCGTGTAAATTCCAGTCCCGAGGACACGAGAGAGACCCAGGCCTGGCCCCGTGGACAGGCTCAGAGCCAGGGCTCTCGCCAGACGGATGGGCGCATCTACAAATCTGGGGGGCCACCGCATCGAGAAGACAGAAAGAAGCAAACAAAGGAAGGACCCTATGAAACGCACCCCCAAAGCAAACAACCAATCCAAGAAAAAACACGTCTCAGGGCTCCGTTGGTTTTCCCGCATGGGGGGCCCTGACCCCCTGTTCTAGCCCGGCCTAAGCACCCTCCACCCCACCCCGGCCTGCTCAAAGGGGGCCTGTCTACCTGAGCAGAGCCTCCCTCTCCAAGGCTCTGTCGCTCTCGCTCTGCAACTCCCTCAGCCTCTCCCTTTCTCTACTTCCCCTTCCACCTCGCGCTCTTCTGTCGCGCTCTCTCTTTCCCTCTCTCTCTCTCTCTCCTCCCCCACTCTCTGTCTCTCTCTCTCTCTCTATCGCTGTCTCTCTCTCTCCCTCTGGTTCTCTCTCTCCATTCCTCTCTCCCTTCCTCTCCTTCTGTAGCAGGAGGAGCCGCAGACAAAACCCCTCAGACACCGAGTTGTAGAAGGAAGGGCTTTATTCAGCTGGGATCATCCGCAGACTCATGTCTCCAAAAACCGAGCTCCCCGACTGAGTAATTCCTGTCCCTCTTAAGGGCTTACAACTCTAAGGGGGTGTGCGTGAGAGGGTCGTGATCCATTGAGGAAGCAGAGGGTACTGACTGGGGGCTGCATGCAGCGGTAATTAGATCAGAACAAAACAGGACAGGGATTTTCACAGTGCTTTTCGATACAATGTCTGTAATCTATAGACAACATAACCGAGTAGGTCAGGGGTATATCTTTAACTACCAGGCCCAGGGTGTGACACTGGGCTGTCTGCCTATGGATTTCATTTCTGCCTTTTAGTTTTTACTAAAAGCGGTGCGCCCATGTGTGTCTGTTTGGGAATGGGTTTGCTCGTGATTGTGGTGGGGTGTGTCTGGATGTCCGTCAGTACCTTTGTCCCGGGATCAGGCTGCCTACTCTATCGCCAGCGCATGGGTGTCACAGTTGCTGTGTTAGTCTCAGTACGCAGAAATTGGGCATAAGACAATATGAGGGGTGGTCTCCTCCCTTACTTCAAGCTATCTTTGTCTGTGTCTGTGTCTTTGTGTGTCCGTGTGTGTGTGCCCGTGTGTGTCTCCGTGTGTGTCCGTGTGTGTGTGACCGCGCGCGTGCTCCCGTGTGTATCTGTGTGCGTGTCGGGGTGGGTTTGCTCGTGGTGGTGGGGTGTGTCTGGGTGGCCCATCAGCCCCTCTCCCCCGGGATCAGGCTGCGGGGGCTCTAGTGCCAGCGCGGGGCAAAGCAGGGCCTTGGCCAACGGGGCGAGTCCTCGTTGGGACAAGCGACAATGGTGTGGGCGTTGTGAGAAAAAGGGCCCTCAGGGCTGGGCCGGCTGTTTGCCCCTGGACAGCCCTGACGGCTCTGGGTGTGTGGGGCAAGAGGGGGCCTTGCAGGAGGGGCGGCGAGGGATCCAAAACAATTTTTCTGCGGCAAGACGAAGGACCGGAGGGGATCCCAGGACAGTTGGCCCTGGGCCCTGACGCCTCGGAGCACACCCCGTCCTGAGCCGGCCAGATGTGTTGGAAGCTTGGGAGCTCCCAAGCCGGGGAAGGCCTGGAGCGTCTGCGAAAAGGGAGGCCACCTGGTGTGCCTGGAGCCTGGGCAGGGGACTGAGGTCTCTGGCTCTCCCGCGCTGCAGCAGGGCGGTGCCACGGCGCGTTCTCTGGCCGCAGGCGACGGGGGTGGCTCTGGGAGGCCGGCGGAAGGCGCAGCGCGGCGGCCGGCGGTGCTGGGACCTTGATGGGGAGAGCAGCCCGGCCGCGGGGGAGCGGTTCTGGGGCCCCGGATCTGAGCCCCGCGGCCCAGGGGTGGCGGTGACGCCAGGAGTCGAGCAGCCGCCACTGCCGGCCTTTACGGCCACACCACCCTGAACGCACGGGATCTCGACTGACCTTGAAAGCTAAGCAGAGTCGGGCCTGGTTAGTACTTGGGATGCGAGACCCCCTGGGAATACAGGGTGCTGAAGGCTTTTGGCTCCCCGCTCCCTCCCTCTTTCCCCCTTTTGTCGCCGTGCTTCCCAACGGCCCCCTGACTCTACTCCCACTTTTCCGCACGCCTGCGCTCCACAACGCATGGGCTGCTTTCCACCGCGGAAGGACATTGCCTTCGTCAGCCACCAAGAAAACCGTCCCTGTGCACTTGGATTTTCATTGCCACCGACTTCGTGTAAAATGCAGTCTCGGGGACACGAGAGAGACCCAGGTCTTGTGCCCTGTAAGCACGCTCGGCGTTATGGCTCCGGTCAGATGGACAGGCGCACTCTACAAATCTCGGAGCCTACTGCATCAAGAAGACAGAAAGGAGCAAACAAAGGAAGGACCCTACCAAACGCACCCCTGAAGTAACTAACCAATCCAAGAGTGAACACGTCTCAGGGCTCAGTTAGTCCTCTCCCTTGGACGGCCCTGCCCCCCTGTTCTGGCCCAGCCCAAGCACCCTCCACCCCACCCCGGCCTGCTCAAAGGGGCCCTGTCTGCCAGAGCAGAGCCTCCTCCAAGGCTCTATGGCTCTCGCTCTCCAGCTCCCTCATCCTCTCTTTTTCTCTTCTTCCCCTCCACCTCTCGCTCTTCTGTCACCTTCTCTCCGTCTCTCCCCACCCTCTCTGTCTCTATCTCTGTCTCTGTCTCACCCTTTGTTTCTATCTCTCCATCCCTCTCTCCCTTGCTGTCCTTCAAGCCGTCTGTGTCTTTGTGTGTGTGTCCGTGCGTGTCCGTGTGCGTGTGCGCGCGCCCGTGTGTATCTGTGTGTGTGTGGGGGGGTGGGTTTGCTCGTGGTGGTGGTGGGGTGTGTCTGGGTGTCCGTCAGCCCCTCTTTCCCGGGATCAGGCTGCCGGGGCTCTAGTGCCAGCGCCGGACAAAGCAGGGCCTTCCTGCCCCCTTGGCCACGGGCCGGTCTTCCTCGGGACAAGCGACAATGGTGTGGGCGTTGTGAGAAAAAGGGCCCGCGGGGCTGGGCCGGCTGTTCGCCCCCGGGCAGCCCTGGCTTCTCTGGGAGTGTGGGGCAAGAGGGGGCCTTGCAGGAGGGGCGGCGAGGAATCCAAAATAATTTTTCCGCGGCAAGGCGGAGGACCAGAGGGGATCCCAGGACCGTGGGCCCTGGGCCCTGACACCTGGGATCACACCCCGTCCTGAGCAGGCCCCAAGTGTTGGAAGCTCCGGAGCTGGAGAGCCAGGGGAAGGCCTGGAGTGTCAGCTAAAGGGAGGCCGCCTGGAGAGTCCAGAGCCCTGGCAGGGAATGGAGGCCTCGGGCGCCTCAGCGGTCCTGCGCGTGGTCTGGCCGCCGGCGATAGCGGGACGCTCTGCGAGGCCGGCGGAAAACGCAGCGCGGCGACTGGTGCTTGGGCGTATAGAGGGGGAGAGCAGCCCGGCCGCGGGCGAGCGGCTCCGGGGGTGCCTGATCCCAGCCTCGCGGCCCCGGGTTGGTGGTGACGCCTGGAATCAGACGCGCGTAGCTGGACCGGGCTCTTGGACCAGCCAGGGGCCACCGCCATTGTCTACGGCCATACCATTCTAAACACGAGAGAAACCCAAGCCGGGGCCCGTGGGCACGCTCGGGGCCACTGCTCCCGCCACAGGGACGGGCGCACTCGACAACTTTCAGGACCCACAGCACCAAGAGGACAGGGAGGAGCCAGCAAAGGAATGACGCTACGAAACGCACCCCCAAAGCCACCAACCAATCCAAGTGAAAACACGTCTCAGGGCTCCCTTGGTTTTCCCTCGTGGGCGGCCCTGCCCCCCTGTTCTAGCCCGGCCCAGGCACGCTCCACCCTACCCTGGCCAAAGGGGCCCCTGTCTACCAGAGCAGAGCCTCCTTCTCCAAGGCTCTGTTGCTCTCCTTCTCTAGCTCCCTCGCCCGCTCCCTTTCTCTACTTCCCTCTCCACCTTGCCCGCTCTCCTCCCTCTCTCTCTCTCTCTCTCTCTCTCTCTCTCGCTGTTTCTCTCTCTCCTTCCGTTTCTATCTTTCCATCCCTCTGTCCTTTGCTTTTCTTCAAGCTGTCTGTGTCTTTGTGTGTCTGTGTGTGTGCTTGTGTTCCCGCGCGTGCGCCCGTGTGTGTCTGTGTGTTTGGGAGTGGGTTTGCTAGTGATTGTGGTGGGGTGTGTCTGGATGTCCGTCAGTACCTTTGTCCTGGGATCAGGCTGCCAACTCTATTGCCAGCGCGTGGGTGTCACAGTTGCCCTGATAGTCTCACACACGCAGGTGTGTGGATCTCGTTCATTTTCATGTAGACAACGAGATCGAAACCACAGAGAAAAGAAACGTCCCGTGCATCACGGCCTGACGATGGATTCCTGTTTCCTGCAAAATGGGGGGTCTGCAATATAGCCTGTTTGAAACTGGAAAGGAGAGCACCGACACGATGCTGGTGTTCCACGCATTCCTGGAAGTTTCTGGGTCCCCACAGAGCTCGGGAAACAAACAGTCAACATGGTCACACTTTCGGGGGGCGGGGGCAGAGACTTGAGCAACAGGCACCTCTGCAGAGGGCAAAGAAACGTGGAATCCAGAATCACGCTTTAGTTGGCCTGAGCGTGATTCCTGTGTGGATGGGACTATCCGCCTCGCGCTCTGTTGCAGGGCTCAACGTGGGGATATGTCATCTGTGAACCATGTGGATGAAAAACGGACAACCACCTGAGTCTCAGCTCATTGCTCTCTGGGGAATTCGCTCATTCCTTCGGAAACGGAATTCGTCTGAATCGCTCCGGGATGAAGTAACTCAGGCTGGCGATCCGGAGGGCCCAGCACTTAGCCCGCGCTGGGCACCCAGCATTTTCCCGGAGTGCTGGGTCCTGTTGGTTCTGGAGGCAGAAGACTGTTTTTCTGTCTGCCTTCCTTTATCTGTTTCTTGCTCCTTTTGTCCCTCGGTCCATCCTTCCGTCTGCTCTTCCCTTCCTCCCCTGGTTTTTTCCTCCCTTTCTCCCTCCCTCCCTCTTTCTCTCCTTTCCAGGGTCCCTCCGTCCATCCATCCTTTCCTAGCTCCATCCTTCCCTCCCACTCTGTCTCCGTTCCCGTCCTCATCTCTGCCTGCCTTGCCTCTTGCCTGGAAAGGGCAGCACCCTGGTTTGCACGGGGTCTCGGGTCTACATTTAGTTGCAAGGCGCTCCATGGTGCTGGCGAGGAGGCTGGCGGGACGGGGGTTGGCAAGTGTTGGTGAGCGAAGAGGCAGAGGAGTCGAGCCACGGAAAGGAGAACTGGCCTGGCTTCTGCCCCGGCCCAGCGCTTCGCGGACTGAGGTCTCCGCCAACTCGACTGAAGAACGCTGGGGAAAAAGGAATGAGAGCTCCGCCTGGGCTGGTTGGAAAACCTAGGCTGCTGCCTGCAAACCTGCGCATGCGCAGTAGACAGTCCACCTCCCGGTACCTGGGCGGGCCCTGGGATCCCCGGGATGCTCAGGAAAGAATGACAGCCCTCCTCTGTGTGGAGTCTCTCACCGGACCTGGAACTCAGGGATCCTAGACAGGTCAGCTGGAAGGGAAGGCACGCCTCTCCATACCGAGTCAGAGGTTCACCGCGAAAGAGAGGGCGCCGTCCTGCCCCCACCCCGCCCCAACCCCGCTCCAACCTGCTCCTCCAGCAGAGCCCGGTGTTCTTCCTGGCTGAGGAGTGGTTCCAGCAGAGCGGGCTCTTCCACGTCCTTCAGCTCCCCCAGTGGCGCCGGATCTAGGAAAGGTCGTGCCTTTTGCTGAAACTCTGGTGTCTACAGGAGCTCATATAACAGGCTGGAGGTGACTGTAGACGAGCGCCCCGGCTCCTGGAGCGGTTGGGAGGCGCCTGGATGGCTGGCATCTGTGCTTGCCGCGGAGGCGTCCGGGGGCGCGGGCTGGGGAGGTGGAGCTGCCCCGGCTTGGGGTTCCCACGCCGCCCCGGCGACCTGGGGACCCCGGCCCCAGCCCCACCACGGACTCCCCTGGGACGTGGGTGGCGCAAGCACCCCTTGGCCCTGCGGCCCCGCTTGAGCGGGCCCAGGCTGTGCCACCGCGCAGGGGCCCGGCAGGCCGTCGCGCTGCGGGTCCCGGTCCTCCCGGCTTTTGCCCGGGTGCGGAGGCCACCGAGGAGCCTGAGGGTGGGAGAGCGCCCCGTCCGGAGGAGCCGGGGCGGCGTAGGCGAAATCCCCGCGCGCCGGGGCAGGTTGGGAGATCCCCTCTGCCGGCGCGGCCTGGCTGGGCTGCAGCGCGGGGGCGGCCCTCGCTGCCTGGCTCACGAAAGCCCCCTGTGGGAGAGCACCAGGCGCGCAGGGCACGTGGGGTGCGGGAAGCCCCGTTCCCCACGCGCCGGTGTGGGCGAAGGCGACCCACGAGGGAGCAGGGTGACCCCCGCCGGGGGCCGCGCTGCACAGGCCGCCTGCCTGCGCGGGCGCCCTGCCACCCTGTCCCGGGTGCCTGGCCCTTCGATTCTGAAACCAGATCTGAATCCTGGACTCCGGGAGGCCCGTCTCTCTGGCCAGCTCCTCCCGGGCGGCGATGCCTGGAAAGCGATCCTTCTCAAAGGCTCGGAGGAGCAGGGCGGTCTGGGATCCGGTGACGGCGGTCCGCTTTCGCCGGCCTTCTGGCGGGCCGCGTCTCCCGGGCCAGGGCCGAGATTCCCGCCGGTGCTGCCTCAGCTGGCGTGACCTCTCATTCTGAAACCAAATCTGGACCCTGGGCTCCGGAATGCCGATGGCCTGGGCCAGCCGTTCTCTGGTGGCGATGCCCGGGTACGGGTTCCGCTCAAAGCAGGCTCGCAGGGCCTCGCTTTGGCTCGGGGTCCAAACGAGTCTCCGTCGCCGTCCTCGTCCCCGGGCTTCCGCGGGGAGGGTGCTGTCCGAAGGTGTCGGGAGGGCCATCGCGGTGAGCCCCGGCCGGAATTTCACGGACGGACGCGGGCAGAGAGAGGCCGGCGGGCTCCCGTGCACCTCAGCCGGCCTGTGCACTGCGGCAGGTGCAGCCAGGAGGCCCTTAGAAAGACCTACCACCTCCACCGCGTTATGAACATGCATGAGCTCGGGGCCCAAGGTCCCGGGGTAGCCCGCCCTCCGAAGCCGAAAACCACAGGGACCAGGGCCTTGTGGGGTGGGTGGGTGCAGGGCCGGATTGGAGGGGAAAGAGGGGCTTCCGGGGCTGGCTCTCTGAGGTTCTCCAGTAATTCTATGGAAACTGGAAGCCGCTGTCTTGACTCAGTTTTCAGGCAGAAACCACCCCGAAGGGTGGAGTGTGGAACTGAACTTCCGTGACGGTCTTGAGTTTTCCAGGCCCTCTGTGGGTGTCGCCGTTGCCGTGATAGTTCACACACGCAGGGGTGTGGATCTCGTTCGTTTTCATGTAGAAAACGAGAGCGAAACTGCAGAGAAAAGAAACGTCGGGTGCATCACGGCCTGACCACGGATTCCTGTTTCCTGCAACAAGGGGAGTCTCCACTGTGGCCGGTCTGGAAACCGGAAAGGAGAGCGAAGTCACGATGCTGCTTTTCCACGCTTCGCTGGAGGTTTCTGTGTCCCCGCAGAGCTCGGGAAACAGCCAACGTGGTCGCGCTTTCGGGGGCGGGAGACACGCGAGCAACAGGTCCCCTTGCAGAGGGCGAAGGAGCGTGGAACCCGGAATCACGGTTCACTCGGCCTGAGTGTGACTCCCGTGTGGACGGGCCTGTCCGCCTCGCGCTCTGTTGCTCAACGCGGGGCCGTGTCGTCTGTGAACCACGTGGATGGAAAACGGACAATCACCCGCGTCTCGGCTCATTGCTCTCATTCCTTGGGAGGCGGAATTCGTCCGAATTGCTCCGGGATGAAGTGACCCGGGCCGGCGATCCGGAGGGCTGGTGAGCTGGTGGGCGCCCCGCAAGCAGACGCGGCTGTGGGCCGAGCTCTCGGCCTGCACCGGGCACCCCACGTTTTCCCGGAGTGCGAGGTCCCGCTGGCCCTGGAGGCGGAAGACCGCTTTCCTCTCTGCTTTCCTCTCTGTCTCTTGCTCCCTTTCTCCCTCTGTCCTTCCCTCCCTCCCTCCTCCCTCCCTCCCTCCTCCCTCCCCGCTCCCCACTTTCTCCTTTCCAATGTCCCTCTATCCATCCGTCCTTTTCTCGCTCCATTCCTCCCTTTCTCTCTGTCTCTGTTCCTCTCCCCATCTCTATTTTTCAACATTATATGATCCCATTGTGTGTATCTGTGTGTTAACATTTTTTAGCAATAAAATTCATTTTCATTATGTACATTGTTATTTAGACACATTATTTATGTATGTGCATTTGTTTAATAGACATAATTTATTTCAGCGTTATTCTACAGCAGAGTGTAAGCATAACTCATAAGCAGTGTCAACCCAAAAATTGTGTGACTCGCGTTACTGTGATTCTTTTATACTGCAGTGCTCGAGAATAAAATCTCTGTATCTCCAATTCATATCTGTGTATTACCATTGAATTGGCCCCATTTCCTGTAGTGATAGAACACTATTCCCGCACTATGACAAGAGCTGTGGGCTGTGGGGAGGTCAGGGATAGGATGACACGGAAGTGACGATAAGACATTCTCTTTTTCACATTTTTATTAAATACAAATTCCATATGAAAGAAATTTAAAATTCCAAACAACATTGTTTATTTCATTACATAAAATGAAAATTATAAAGCAACCAAACAATTAATACACTTAGATAATGAAATAGTGTATGATCTCAGTACAAAATACAAGTAGAATATACGTCAAATATAACAAAATACACTGTATTGTAGTACGTGATGAAATCTCCATATCCTGCAATATAGTACAATCAATTGAAATGTATAAAATATAATAAAATATAAATTTAGGATGTTTAAAATGAAATGAAACATGAGGCAGGTCAATAAATAAGTACAATCATTTACCATTTACTATATCTTGACTTAAATTTTATGTAGAAATATTAAAAGTAAACAGCTTGCATAGTAATTTTACTATAATTATATCAAACTAAAAATATATAGACATTTTCCCACAGGGAGTGCTATTAATGGTTTGTGGATATTAGTACTCCATGGGTTCAGGCTGGAAGAGTGAGAGCCTACAACCTTTTCTGGATTAAAAGAGAAGCAATTTCTTGGTAAGGCGGCTCATGCCTGTAATCCCAGCACGTTGGGAGGCGGAGGCTGGCAGATCACCTGAGTTCGAGGCCAACCTGGCCAAAGTGACAAAACTCTGTCTCTACTAACAATACAGGAAAAAAAAAATTAGCCAGGCATAGCAGTACATGCCTGTAGTCCCAGCTGCTTGGGAGGCTGAGGCATGAGAATTGTTTGAACCCAGGAAGCAGAGGTTGCAGTGAGCTAAGATTGTGCCACTGCACTCCAGCCTGGGTAACATAGCAAGACTGTCTCAAAAAAAAAAAAACAAAAAAGGAGCACATAATTTTATATTTACTTTTCTACAATCTAAAATATGCAAATTCACGATTACATTCTAATGTTTTTCTGATTATATAGAAATGCATGACTGTCATCAGACATCCAAAAGGCATCAAATGTCTAACATGAAATATAAAATTTGTCTATAGTCTTAGCGGTCTGCAAAATTCAGGGCTCTCACCATTCTGAGTATACCGCTCAAGTTTCTTTCCTATGACTTCTTCAGGTTCTGTCATTTATTAACACAGTGTGTCTAAAATTGTCACTGCTGGTCATCTGGAAGAATCTGAGAAGAAGCAGATCCTTGTTCTCATTCCCAGAGCTGCATCTCTGCTGAATAGGGTCAGGGTGCTCACAGCTTAGCCTCATCTGATCCACTGACAGTCTCAGTTATCTCCTGCCCAGGGAAGGGATGGGCTTCTCTATCCAGGGCTGATTCCCCAGGACCTGGCAGTGTGGCTGGGACAAGCCAGCTCTCAGCAGGGAAGACATAAGCTGCCTGGGTGGCCATGGAATACAAGGTCTGCACCTGGGCACACAGAGGCCCCCGGAGCCGAGTGAGCAGTGTCAGCTGCTCACAGGTAAGTGGAGAATGGATCTGCTGTGCCCACACCTGGGCTAGGTCTTGATAAACAGCCTCTGACATAGCTCGCACAGAAGTCACCAAGCTTTTTCGAATTGACGGTGTTTGGACTCCTAGGGCCCGAGACCTATGCCGCTTGCTGTGCCCAGTGCAAGCCCTGGAATGTCCCCTATGGTGGGCATCACAGGTCTCCTGGATTTCACTGTTGTGCACAGCAGTGGAGGATCTTGATTTTTTATTCAATGACAAGCTGCACTCCTTTTCTGGACAGTTCCCTGCAAAGAAAGCATGTGAGAGACTCACCAGAGCAGTCCCCACAGACCCTGATTTCCAGAACCCCCTGTACACCCAGGTGAACCCCACTTGTCTCTCCCACTCCTTCCTGACCATCTCAGCACTGGAATGAAGTGAGGCTGAACCCCCTGTGAGTCCCCAAATATTCTCAGAGTGCTAAGATCTCAAAAATTTACTCGTCAATAAGTAACTCCCTTTCCGCTCAAGCCTCGTATAAAAGTTTCCTGATTATTTGCCTTTTGGGGCAAACCAAAAACAAAAAAACCACCACCAACAACAACAAACACCAAGATTCTACCTGCTGTGTCTTGGCAGCTGTCCTTGGAACTCATTTTTCTTTTCCTGCAGTTTTCCCGATATGAGCTGGACTCTGGTTCTGTGAACACAATGAGAGTTTGAGAAAGTGCCTCCAACTGAACACCCTGAAATTCCTAGTCCATCCTGGACACACAGGAGCTGAGGTTACCACCAAACCCCAGCTCTCTTCTGTTCTCCAGTGTCCAGGATCTGTACGGCCCTGGCTGCCAAGGAGCTCCCAGTTTCCTTGCCAGGGGAGCCTGTGTTGCTTCCCTGTCCCTTCTCACCTTGAAAGAGTCAAATCTTACCTGATCCAGCAGTGCTGTTCCCGGCCTTGAGCTTGGTTTCCTCAGAATTCTCCTTGTTTGGATTGGGCTCCGATCCTGCTGCAAGAGAAGGTTTAGGTGACTCACCTCTCCCTAGGCAGAGTCCCACAGTCTATCTCTGATGCATTTTTGCGGATCAGTCTTTCATGTGAAGCTCTTCTGCCAGTGTCACGAGTGAACACATTTCTCAAGTCCCCTGAGGGCACTAAGCCATTTCCCATCCCCAAATCTCAAAATAAAACCCTGCTAAAGACACAGCTCAGTATCCCTGATTCCAACCCTCCTTCCAGACTCCACAGGAGCAGCCCAAGGCCTTACCTTGCCTTTGTATGTGCTTCTCACTGGAATGGGAGAAGGCGGTCTTGCCTTTTTCTTTGAATGGTTTCTTCTCATCTGAGCCCTTTTCTGTAAAGGAGATCTGTTGGAAAGGGGGCTGGTCAGTGGAGCACTGGATGGAGGAGCAGTGGAGATCGGAGTCTTCATTTCCCTTTCCCATGTTGAAGCTCAAGTGAAAGGTGCGCTCTCTCTCACGTCCAAAGGCAGAGTGTGGGTTAGTCTGCTAGACCTGCCTTTTATACGTCCCTCGGCTGGGCGTGGCTTACTCTTATTGGCTGAAGAGTTTTCTCATTCCTGCCGCTTCTTAGAGCCTCAATCAGAAGTTTCTTGCTGTAGTTCTACTGGGGACCTAGACACAGTTAAAGGGAGACATTTTCAGGATCCTGTCATGGTGTCCAGAAAACAAAGAACCGGGAGCACAGGGACCGGAAAATCGGGGAAGCATTTCTTCCTATTTCTGTCCCAGTTCCTACCTGGAAGGATTTATGATCCTGTTCACCTTTCAAGATGCACAATTAAACATGCCTATATTGTCATATGTTATATATTTTGCACAGAAAGAGAATTTATTATACATAGTGTTAACATTGTATGCATAGATATTATAATTTCTTAAATGCTTGGAAACAACAAATGTCAAATTATGGTTGATTGTATTAGGTCCACACATATATGATGAAATAAAAATGCAGAGAAAAAATAAATACCAAATGAAATGGCCCTTCCTACCTTAAAAATGGGGAAGATAATTAGATCAAATGCAATAAAATTGAATTGATTAGGTTGAGTCAGTGCTAACCTAATTAGCCCCCGATTCCTGAGGTAGCAAAAAGTCTCGGTGGAAAAACTTTCCCCCATTCTCACCCTTCCTCAGTCATCCTGGGAGCGCCATTGTGTTCTGTGGGCTTTATTCAGCCCTCCCTAGTGAAAATGGACTTGGTCTCAAACAGGTAACCCAACTGATCACAAGACAAACAGCCTAGATTCTGAACATCAGCTCCTGTCTTCACACTGCGGACACCACCTGAATCCCGTCAAAGCCCACATTGATTCTCAACATCCACCAGCAAGACGTATTCCAGGGCAGCCTCTCAAAACTGCCTCAGTGAGACAGGACAAGGTGTGGTGGAGCTCCAGGTTCAGAACAGCTGCCTCATCCCTTCCTACTGCGGCGGAGTCTGTCTCTGCTGGTCAGAGCCCTCCAACTAGCCTAGTCTATGTCCAAGCAAGTGTCCCCTAAAAGGACCTTCTTGTCTCCCCCTCTGCTGAGGAAAGCATGCAGGAACGAGACCTTCTATGTTAAGGAGTACTCAGCCTCCAGTCCCAAATGACTTGATTGACTGATGAACTGATTCCTTGAGGAGGAGAAAGTCACAGGGAAGAGACTGTGTTGGGTGAGTCTGTGTTTTCCCAGCTGTGCTGCCTGTGCAAATAGTGGAACGAAAAAAGAATTAGTGGTAGACAGACACTGCCTAGTGAAATTGTCTGAAAGTAAATGGAACTTATCATAATATGATATCGTTATATATTATAATATTATGATATGAAATTTGACATCTAAATAAATTTTGATATATTATGAAATAATATATAAAATTTGGTCAGGTAATTTCATAAATTTTGTAACAACATTAACCTATAAACTCAATAGAAAGCTAGGAAAATTGTCTGCTCTTGTGTAAATGACTGCGTTTTGGATAACTCTGTAAAAGCTGTGAAGAGGGGTCTGCTACTTACGTGATAGTAAGTACTTGATAAGACATCGACTTGCACATCTTTGCTGTTTTTAACCAATGCTCTCTCAAGATATGAGAATATTTTACTCTAAGAAAGTATTTTCCTAGATATCGTAATAGGAATTTTGTTAATTTTAGTTAATAAATTATTATAACATTTAGTGATTATTAATAATTTATGTCATTGTTAAAATATATTCCTACAGAGAACATATTACCCATGTGTTTTTATTTGTCCTTTAATCTCAGGTAAATTTTTTAAATTTTTATTTATTAAATTCTATTTATTTTAGACAAAAGAGACCTTGTAACTGCCATATGATGTACTTTCTTAGAAAGAGAAATTCTCAGGCAAAACTTAGGACTGGCTGGGCATGGTGGCTTATGCCTGTAATCCCAGCACTTTGCGAGGCCAAGGCGGGTGGATCACCTTAGGTCAGGAGTTCAAGGCTAGCCTAGCCAACATAAGGAAGCCCCATCTGCACTAAAAATACAAAAAAAAAAATTAGCTGAATGTGGTGGCTCATGCCTGTAGTCCCAGCTAGTTGGGAGGCAGGAGGATTGCTTGAACCCGGGAGGCAGAAGTTTTGGTGAGCCGAGATCAATCCACTGCACTCCAGCTGGGCGACAGAGCAAAACTCCATCTCAAAAAAAGAAAAAACTCAGCCTTATTTTTATCAAAATCTAGATTTTAAATGACATTTCTAGGTGTCCCCTTTCAATAAAAATCCAAACCAAAACAAACAAAAAGCTTCTAGGTAATTCATATGAATATTAATAACTGTTAAATTGGGTACTTTTATTTTTAAGAGAGGGATTGTTTATATGGATGTGTTGATGTATCAAACATGTACAGTTAAAATTGTACCTTTTTTTGACAGAGCCTCACTCTGTCCCTCTGGAAGGAGTGCAGTGATGCAATCACAGCTCACTGCAGCCTTGACCTCCCAGACTCCAGTGATCCTCCCAAGTCAGCCTCTCAAATAGCTGTGACTAGAAGTGTGCACCACTATGCCCAACTAACTTTTAAAAAATTGTTGTAGAGATGAGGTCTCACTCTCTTGCCCCAGTGAGGCCTTGTTATGTTGCCTAGGCTGGTCTCAAACTCCTGAGCTCTGGCTTCCAAAGTGATGAGGTTACGAATGTGAGCCACCATGCCCAGCCAAGATTAGACCTTTCAATGAGTGCACATCTTACCTCAAAAAAAAAAAAAAGAAAAGAAACTTATTAAAAGATAAAGTCTGAGTTAAAAGTGGGTTCACACTAATGATTTTTAATTTGGTACTTCTATTGTTAAAAGAGGGATTGCTTATATGGGTGTGTTTATGTGTAAAAAGCTAGTTAAGGTCGAACCTTTATTTATTTTTTTTTTGAGACAGAGTCTCACTCTGTCACCCAGGCTGATGTGCAGTGGCACAATCACAACTCACTGTAGCCTCAAACTCGTAGAATCAAGGGATCCTGCTATGTCAACATACCAAGTAGCTGGAACTACAGGCATGCACCACCGCGCCTGATTAATTAAAAAAAAAATTTAATAAAGATGTGGTCTCACTATGCTGCCCAGGCTGCTCTCAAACTCCTGACCTCAAATGATCCTCCTGCCTTGTCATTCCAAAGTGATGGGATTACACAGGCTTAAGCCATTGTGCTCAGCCAAGATTTTACCTTCAATGAGCACACATTTTATACCACAAAAAATAATAATAAATAACAAAGTCTGTGTGAGAAATGAGTTGAAGTATAGATAACACAAAATTGGCATGTTATTAGTTGTTGTTGAGCCTGGGTAACAGGCCTATTGTACTGTTTCTTTTATTTTGTGTATGTTTTAAATTTTCTGTAATAAAACATGTATAATAATACAAAGTTGATCTACACTGTTAGCTCTTAAGATCTTAGTGACTTTGGGGGAGCAAAAGAGAGAAAGTGGTTACCAGGACATCTGTGAAGCTGGTTCTATTTCTAGGTTACACACGTGTGTTCACTTTGTAATAATTCATTGAACTTTACATGATTTCTTTGTATACGTCTTTCTGCATGAATGTTATACATATATAAAAATTTAAATATTACCTATTTGCACAAAATTTTAACTTCATATCTCAGAATAATAGCACTGTTTTGTACTGTTTTAAAGTGGGACATGTTTTCTCGGGGCATCATCAGATGGATATTAATATTCCAAGGTATTTACTTATGTTGTAACACTTCGGTGACCTTCTAGGTCTTCCCATGTTTACATCAATTTAGTAAGTAAGATAGTTTTAATTTTTTAGGGTATAGGCCAAGCACGGTGGCTCATGCCTACAGTCTCAGCTCTTGGGAGGCCAAGGCAGGAGGATCATTTGAGTCCAGTATTTTGAGTTTTTTTAGGATGCAATTATTATTCAGCAAAGTCCTCTCCCCACGGTGAGGTTCAGCAATGCAAGGGCACCTAGTGCATACTATGCATTTGGTATGAGTAGAACTGGATTGAATCAGGAATAAAATACGTAGCAGAGGTCAGTTCGGCAAGGAAAAGTAGGTAATGCAGGTAAGATCAGAAGAGCACAACCCAGCAGCAAATCTTTCCATTTATTTCAGGAACCCGTTTGCCACTAGTTCACCGGAAGAGGCTGATTTAAACCATTCATTTCAGGAAACCATTTGCCACTAGTTCACCAGAAAAGGCTGATTTAAACCATTCATTTCAGGAAACCATTTGCCACTAGTTCACCCGAAGAGGCTGATTTAAAGCAGCAGTTTGGGGGCTTGGTTGTACCCCATAGTCACCCAGAGAGCTTTAAACAGCACTATGGCTCAGGTCCCACTGCAGGGATTCTGAGTTCACTTATCTATTGCCTTTTGAGTTTAGGTAATTTTAAAAGCCTCCCTGGTGATTCCTGTGTGCACCCAGGGGGAACAACCCCTGGTTCGGGATGAGAAATGCATTTGCTGTGCATGCATTCCATGTGTGCAGCGGTGATTTGCCCCATGGCCACTCCTGAGTTTGGGGTCTTAGAAAATACACTTGTCCTGTTAAAAATCAAAAAACTACTTCAAGACACACTCAGCTGTTTGACTAAAATGCAGCAGGAGAAAATATCTTCTCAAAAGATGTATCTGGATGGCACTTGCTTTCAGAGTAAAAGGTGGTTTCAAGCACAATATAGCACTTTTTTCCTACAGGCTTTCAAGGCCTTTTACTATCATATCCTTATGAATCACAGGAATAAAAAAATCATAGTTATATAACTGTCAAATATTGTATTAGGAAAAAAATTAAGGGCATGTCTTCCATGCTCATGTATCCTGATTAAAATCAGTTAAGACCCATCTGCCCGGTGTGGTGGCTCACACCTGTAATTCCAGCACTTTGAAAGGCAGAGGCTGGAGGATCACTTGAGCTCAGGAGTTCAAGACCAGCATGCTCAACATAGAAAAACCTCATCTCTGCCAAATATACAAATATTATCTGGTTGTGGTAGTGTGCACGTGTGGTCCCAGCTACTTGGGAGGCTGAGGTGGGAGAATCGCTGGAGCACAGAATGTCAAAGCTGCAGTGAACCACTGCACCCCAGCCAGAATGACAGGGAAAGAGACCCTGTCTCAGAAATAAAAATAAATAAAGAGACCCATTCTTTCAGACACCCTCATTCTTCTACATAAAACACGGTGCTTTTGACTGAAATGTTTTAAGATGAACTGAAGATTCTCCCATAATCAGGAGCAGTAGATGGAGGTTGCTCCCTTCCTGTTCTTTGAGTTGAAGCAAGGCAGAGGTCTGGAGACTCAAACTGGTAAGTACTCAAACTGGTAAATATATCAATTGCTTTCTTTTCATATGAGGTATTAAGCTATTCTTGCATTGCTATTTAAAAAACCTGAGACTGGGTAATTTATAAGAAAAGAGTTTGATTGGCTCATGGTTCTGCAGGCTGTACAGGAAGCATAGCACCAGCGTCTGCTTCTGGGAAGGCCTGGGGAAGCTTACAATCATGGTGAAAGAGAAGCAGGCATCTCACATGGTAGAAGCAGAAACAAGAAAGATGGGGGAGGGATGGGCCACACTTCTAAACAACCAGATCTCACGAGTACTCACTATCACAAGGATGGCACAGATCCATGAGGGACTCACCCAGTGATTCAACCACCTCCTCCCCAGGTCCCACCTGCCACATTGGGGATTAAAATTCAATATGAGATTTGGAGGGGACATCTAAACTATATCACATGACCATCAGAAAAACAGATGAAGAATTCATGGTTTCTACTGTCCAGTAACTTTTCATCTAGAGCAAACAGATTAATGGCTGAATTCAGCATCCTGTGGTCGGAAGGGAAACGGATTAATGGCTGAATTCAGCATCCTGTGGTCGGAAGGGAAATGGATTAATGGCTGAATTCAGCATCCTGTGGTCGGAAGGGAAATGGATTAATGGCTGAATTCAGCATCCTGTGGTCGGAAGGGAAACGGATTAATGGCTGAATTCAGCATCCTGTGGTCGGAAGGGAAACGGATTAATGGCTGAATTCAGCATCCTGTGGTCGGAAGGGAAATGGATTAATGGCTGAATTCAGCATCCTGTGGTCGGAAGGGAAATGGATTAATGGCTGAATTCAGCATCCTGTAGTCGGAAGGGAGAAGGGAGCTGCACAGGGGGCCTTGGCTGCATTTGCTCCATTTCCCTTATGCTGTTCCTTGAGTTCCGATGTCACTACCTGAAGGACTATTCATGGACAGAAGAATTATTGTTGTTGTTGTGATTATTTCTATTTCTTTTATCTTGGTAAAAATAAGTTTTTAGCTTCTCATATAATTGTCCTAAAAAACCCTAAGAGTTTTGCTTAAGTTTCTTGTTATCATGTGTTATAAAAATTGACAGGGAAGTGGCTAAAACAGATTAAAATTACACAAGCTCTAAGAGTCAAGTCTCTGTTGGGAAGGCTTAGGAAAGACAGAACTGGAAATACTCCACCAGCATGAACATCAGAAACATGGGGTCCACTTTCTGTTCCAGCCCTGCCCAGATCCACCCTCTTCTAAGGCCTCATCCAGGTCTGGCCTCACCCTAGAATCTTCTCTCACAGAACTCATTAAAGGAGACCAGAGATTCGGGCGGGGGCTCCTGCTGCCTCTCCTGAGCTGGTGCCCACAATTTCCTAAAATGGAAAAGCAGATAAGTGGAAGCAAATAATTCTATATTGGGGGGTTATACTTTCTTTTTCATTGAAGCCAGCGCTTCTAGAGACACCTCACCTAGCAACTTGTTT
Organism: Homo sapiens; assembly: GCF_000001405.40. Lineage (NCBI taxonomy): Eukaryota > Metazoa > Chordata > Mammalia > Primates > Hominidae > Homo > Homo sapiens. The sequence continues at coordinate 126,623 of NW_015495300.1, forward strand.
TCCATTCCTGCAAATTCAGTAGCTGCTCCACAAGGCACAAGAAGGTAAATATAAATATAAAACATCTCTCTGAACAGTTCATCCTTTTTTCTCTATCCCTTCAGCTGTCGATATAGCTTTTATTCTGCACATTTTATTTTCCAGGTAAATAATTTTTAAAATGGAAGAAAAAATAGAAATGCTAGGCCCTTCATTTAAGTCCTGAAAATTACAGAAAACTTAGCACCCAACTCCCCAGGGTGCTATGAGGATTAACTCACATCATGTAATGTTTCCTGAACAGTGCTCTGTAACAGACTTCTGAACACATAGTATGTGCTCAATAAACATTGTATTAACTCATGTGTACATGTTTTCCAAATGCAGACTTACTCAAACATTGATGCCTTCTCTAGGCTTTCTAAACTGCAAAGAGCCAGCAGAAAATGACATGTTTGAAAATGGCGATTGGTGGCTTCCACTTTGAGCCAAAAGTATTTGTGTTGTGGTAACAGTGTTGGGTGTCAGGAGCTCTGTGCTGTGCCTACTTTCTCTAGCTGAGTGCTACTATATTGGATGTCGTGGAAGAAACATCAGCATTAAGAGGAGACTTTTTAAAGAAGCCAATTCATGGACCCCTTCCAAACCTGCAGAATCACATTACTAAGAGAGAGCCTGGAATCGGAAATAATTCATATGCACATTGAAACTTGAGAGGCAGCCGGGTGTGGTGACTTATGCCTGTAATCCCAACACTTTGGGAGGCGGAAGTGGGCAGATAACCTGAGGTCAGGAGTTCAAGACCAGCCTGGGCAACATGGCCAAACCATGTCTCTACTAAAACATACAAAAATTAGCCAGGTGTGGTGGCTGGTGCCTGTAATCCTAGCTACTCGGGTGGCTGAGACTGCAGAATCCCTTGAACCTGGGAGGTGGAGGTTGCAGTGGGCCAAGATGGTGCCACTGCACTCCTGCCTGTACAATGAGTGAAAACTCTGTCGAAAGAAAAGAAAGAAAGACAGACAGACAGAAAGAAAGAAAGGAAGAAAGAAAGAAAGACAGACAGACTTGAGAGGCAAGGCTTAGCTAAGTGGCTCTCGGCCCATGCTTCCAGCCATAATCACATGGCCAGCTTAAAGAAATACCATCACTTGTGCCCTCCCCAGAGACTCTGTCTATTGATCTTGGTGGGAGCATCTATGTGGTTGTAATTAGAAAGTCAAATTGTCCCTCTTTGATGATAATATAATATCATATATACAAAAATTCTAAAGACCACCAAAAAACTCAGATTTGATAAATAAATTTAATAATGTTTCAGGATGCAAAAATCAACGTACAAAAGTTGATAGCATTTTTATACACTAATGATGATCAAGCTGAGAACTGAATTAAAAAGTCACTTCCTTTTACAATAGCTACAAAAAAAGGTAAAATGCTTAGAAATACAATTGGTCAAAGAGATGAACGATCCCTTCAAGGAAAACTACAAAACACTGATGAAAGAAATTGTACATGACACAAATGAGAAAAACATCCCATGCTTATGGATTGGAAGAATTATGATCAATAAAATGACTCTACTGCCCAAAACAATCTACATATTAAATGCAATTCCTACCAAAATGCCAATGGTATTTTTTATAAAATTAGAAAAAAAACCCACTAAAATTCTTATGGAACCACAAAAAGAGCCTGAATAGTCAAAGCAAATCTAAGCAAAGAGAATAAAGCTGGAGATATTACATTATCTGACTTAAAATTATGCTAGAAGGCTGTAGTAACCAAAACAGCATGGTACTGATATAAATCGACACATAGATCAATGGTACAGAATAGAGAACCTAGAAATAAAGCCACATACCTACAAATGACTGATCTTTTACAAAGTCAACAAAAACACACACTGGAGAAATGACATCCTATTCAACAAATTGTGCTGGAAAAATTATATTTCCGTATGCAGAAGAATGGAATGGGACCCCTATGTCCCACCATATACAAAAATCAACTCAATATGGATTAAAAGACTAAAATGTAAGACCTGAAACTATAAAAATGCTAGAAGAAACTCTAGGATAAACTCTTCTAGACATTGACTTGGACAAAGAATTTATGACTAAGATCTCAAAAGCAGATGTAACAATAACAAAAATAGACAACAGCAACTCAATTAAACTAAAAAGCTCCTGAAAATGAGCTTCCTAATTAACACAGTGAACAGAAAACCTATGGAATGAGATAAATGTTTACGAGTTTTGCATGTGACAAAGATCTAATGTCCAGAATATGCAAGGAACTCAAACAACTCAACAAAAATAAAACAAGTAACCTCATTAAAAAGCAAGCAAAGAACATGAACATTAAAAAAAAGAAAGACACTGATGGTCAATGGTCAACAAGCACGTAAAAGATGCTCAACCTTGTCAATGATCAGAGAAATGCCAATTAAAAACCACAATGAGATACCAACTTACACCCTGCAGAATGGCTATTACTAAAAAGCAGAAAAATGAGCTATCGGCAAGGATACAGGGAAAAGAGAACACTTATACATTGTTTGTGGGAAAGTAACTTTCTACAACCTCTGGAAAACAGTATGGAGATTTCAAAATAGACTAAAAATAGAACTTCCATTTGATTCAGCACTCCCACTACTTGGTATCTACCCAAAGGAAAACAATTTGTTACATAAAGAAAATACCCATGCTGACATGTTTATCACAGCACTATTCATAATAGCCGATATATGAAATCAATTTAAATTTATCAATCAATAATCGAATAAAGAAAATGTGCTATACAAGTATACCATGGAATGCTACTCAGCCATGAAGAATAAAATCATGTCTTTTGCAACAACATGAATAAAACCGGAGGCCATTACTGTAAGTGAAAAAACTCAGAAACAGAAAATCAAATTCAGTATTTTCTCAGTTGTAAGTGGGAACTCAATTAAGCATACACTTGGATATAGAGACTGGAAAAATAGACACTGGAGACTCAGAAAGATGGGAGGTTGGAGAGGGTTTAGGAATGAGAAAATAACTAATTGGGACAATAAACAACATTCAGATGATTGTCACACCAAAAGCCCATACTTCATCACTATGCAACATGCTTCTGTAAGGGAGCGGCATTTGTACTCTCTCACGTATTAATAAAGAGATAAAAAAAAAGGCCTGGTGAGGTGGCTCAAGCCTATAATCCCAGCACTTTGGGAGGCTGAGGAGGGCGGATCACGTGGTCAGGAGTTCAAGACCAGCCTGGCCAATATAGTGAAACCCCATCTCTACTAAAAATACAAAAATTAGCCAGGCGTGGTGGCACATGCCTGTAGTCCTAGCTACTTGGGAGGCTGAGGCAGGAGAATCACTTGAACCCGGGAAGCGGAGGTTGTGGTGAGCCGAGATTGTGTCACTGCACTCCAGCCTGGGGAACAGAGGGAGACTCCGTCTCAAAAAAAAAAAAAGAGAGAAAAAAAAAAACTTTGGCTTTTATCAAGAGGACAAACTGAATAGACCTCATAATTTTCATAAATAATTAGATTAGGCAAAAAATTTTAATAAAAATAAATAGAAAATAATATTGTATTTTAAGAATGGTATAGAAAGATAATTTGATGAATTAGAGTAGTTAGTACTTAGCACATACAATATGTTAGGCAAGATTCTAAGCCACTTAGACCTTTATGGACAGAATACATAACAGAGTAAAATAAATAACACAAAGATTCTTTGGCAATGAAAAATTGACATATTTTCAATCATATTAGATGATATTAAAACCATTAACAAATTTACTGTTTTGTTTCATAATAAAAAAGAATGTTAAATAACTTCATTAAAAAGTTGGCTAATTAGGCATATAGATAAATGGGCAGCATTTTGACCAGTACACAGGGGATACACATTTTCAAAGACCAGACAAAATTATTTATTTATTTTTTGGGGGAGAGGACAGTTTTATTATCTGGGGATACAGTGGGGTCCTCTCCCTGGGAGGTGGGTCTTCCACTGGTTTTCCCCGCCAGGGCTCCAGGGGGCGCCATGCGATTCAGCGCTGGGCTCCGCTGGGGGCCGGGCCTTGGAGGAGGCGAACCGTGCAGGGAAGCGGCAGCCGTGGGGTCCTCACCGCCCGCTCCGCCGGGCTGCACCCGGCCCCCTGGTGCTCCTCAGGCTCCCGCCGAGTCTGCGTCTCTGGAGGGCAGCGAACCATCCTGCCCAGAACCTTATCCTCACAGTCCATTTTGACGCAGGTCAGGCATTTCTGCTTCCTCCTCTCGGGCTGGGCTTTGCACTTGGGTTTCTTCCAGGCCTTCCTCCAGCCGCTTCCCTGTCTGCCGGAGCTTAAATTCCAGCCTCACAGATGTTCCAGCTGGGAAGGGCGTGTCCAGGGCGCTGTCCACACTGGTCTCCCGGAAGGCCCGCTGCACGGGCGGGTGCTTGCAGATTCCTCCAGGGCCACCTGCAGGCCCCGGCGCTGGCCCCGTGAGCTCGGCCCCTCCCGCGTCCCCCGCGCCCACCCACGGGGCCAGCGAGATCCGCAGCCGTCTCAGGCTTCCCCTGTCACCCCGGCCCTGCGAAGCGGGTGTGCGCCCCTTAGTTCTCCGAGCCCGCCGGGAGCCACCTCCTCCCCTGCCCCTGGAGGGGGCCACGCCCGCAGAACGCTGGGCAGAGGCGAAGGAACCGGGAAACGTCCCTTTCTCCACACTGACCTTCGGGTCTGCTGGGTCCTCTCCACTCCCTCCCACCCTGCCCGCGCTGTTCCCTGGGGCCCGCAGTTTCAGCAAAGTTCCCTGCCGCGCCGGGAAGCCGTCCTGTTGCCCACTCTCACCCTTCCTCCTTTTCCGGCCCATTCTCTCTCCCCACTGGGTCTCCGACACGACCCTCTCTCCTCCCGGCTGTCCCCGAGCCCCTCTCTGCTTCCCCAGCTCAGCCCCCTCTCTGACGGCTTCTCCCTCCCACCCCCAGGCGAATCTCCGGGCTCCCACGGGGTGCCCCCGATCCCCGGGGTCTAGGTCAACCAGACAAAATTATTTTAAATGGGAAGATTTGAATTCCATTGAATTCATGAAAGCAGGAATCCATCTGGTCATATTTTAAATAATTTTGAAATGATAATAGCAATTATCAATTTAAAGTTTAACCAGAATTCAGAATAACCACCATTTTACCAGAAAAAAAAAAACCTGTTATAACTAACCAACTAAGTCAGTAAATTCTCAGGATACAATATTAACATATGAACATCAGTTGCATTTTTTTTACAGTAACAACAAAATATCTGAAACAGGAATAAAGATAGTTCCATTTACAATATTATCAAATAGAATGAAATACTTAGGAATGAGTTAACAAAGAATATGAAAGATCTGCATACTGAAAACTATAAAATGTTGAGGAAAGAAAATGAAGAATACAAAATGGGAAATATGTGTTCATGGATTCTAAAAATTAATATTGTTAAAATATCCATACTACACAAAGTGATCTACAGAGTTAAATTTTTATCAAAATTTTAATGCCATTTTATTAAAATGTAGAACGACAATTTTAAAATTAGTATGGAACCACAAAAGACCTCAAATAGCCAAATACTGAGAAGAACAAAAAGGCTGAAAGCCTCACACTTCCTGATTTCAAACTATATTACAAAGCTGTAGTCATTAATACAGTATAGTACCTACATAAAAACCAATAGAACAGAATAGAGGACCCAGAAATAAACTCACAAATATACATTCGACCAATCCCACAGAATGGAGAAAGGATAAACACATCAAGGAGTGGTGTAGGAAAAACTCGATATGCACAGACAAAAAGTAAACCTTTCTCTCATGTCATCACAAAATGAATTTGAAATGAAATAAAGACTTAAACATAAGAACTGAAATCATGAATCCTCTAAAAAAAAAAATGGGGAAAAGCCTCCTTGACACTGGTCATGGCAATGATGTTTCGGATTTGACACCAGGAGCGCAGTCAACAAAAGCAAAAATAAACAAGTGGAACTATGTCAAAGTAAAAATTTTCTGCACAATAAAGGAAACAATCAGCAAAATATAAAGGCATTATATGGAATGGGAGAAAATATTTGTAAACCATATGTAGGATAATATGTTACTATCCAAAATATATGTCATAGTAATCAATACAAAAAACCCACAGCAGAATTAAAAGCAATTTCTTGATTAATAATTGGGCAAAATATATAAATAGCAATTTTTCCAAAGATATACAAATGGCCAGCAGGTATATAAAAAATGCTCAACATCACTAATTATCACAGTAATTAAAATCACAATGAGGTATCACCTTATCGTGGTGTTTGGATACCTATTATCAAAAAGTCAAAAGATAAAAAGTGTTAGGGTGTGGAAAAAGAGAACACTTGTGCACTGTTGCTGAGGATGTCAATTGGTGCAGCTATTATGAAAAACAGTATGGAGGTTCCTTAAAATTGTTAAACTAGAACTACCATTAATCCCAATTAGGAGTATATAGCCAAAGGACATAAAATCAGGATCATCAAGGGTATCTGCATTCCTCTGATACAGATAAACTGAGAGACATAATTTCAGCTTTAATAAAAATGAAACTCTTTCATCCACAACAATATTGATAAATCTTGAAGACATTATGCTAAGTGAAATAAGCTGAATACAGAAAGACAACTACTGCATGATCTCGTTTGTATGTAAAATCTAAAAAAGTAAATAAAAATTTAAAAAAGCCATGGAAACAGTAGAACGCTGGTTCCCATGGGCTAGGAAGTGGGGAAAGTGGGGAGATTTCCATGGAAGGGGCGCACCTTCAGTTACAAGGTGAGTAACTGCTGGGGACCTAACGTACAGAATAGTGACTATAGTTAACAATACTGTGTACTTGAAATTTGCTGCAAGAGTAGATCTCAGGTGCTCTCACCACACACAGAGGCGTATTCACTATGTGAGGGGATAGACAGGCTAACTAGCTTAACTGAGGTGATTTAAAGACCACTGACATCTCAAAACACTCTATTGTACACCCTAAAAATACACACTTTTCAATTTGTCAATCATAGCTCAACGAATGGAGAAAAAAAATAAGAGTAACCAGCAGGTCATAGCTCGCCACACGGAAGCTCGATTTAAAACACGCTTGGCCGCTGTTCGCAGCTCAACTCGGGAACGGCCGGAGCGCTTCCGGCCCCTGGACTTCGACGCTCCTCCCGCGCCCCCGGGGCTGGGGAAGGCGCAGTCGTTCCCCGGATTCCAGGCACGCAGATCCGGCAGGGCCATCGCCGTCCCCCTGCTCTTGCCGCAGCCCCGTCAGGCTCCGCGTTTCGGGGCCTCCTGGCCGGGGAGGCTGCCTGTGGCTGCCCGCGCGCCCCCGGGGCTGTGGCTCCGCCGGCCCCCGCTCCGGCCCCGCGCAGCCCCTCCGAGAACGCAGCCGTCTGGTCCCGAACTCGCGGCCTCTGCCCGTAGCCGCCGCCAGCGCCTTCGCTGTGGCCGCTCCTCCCCCTCCCCGAGCCCGAGCTGGCCCAGCGGAGAAGGAGGGCGGAGAAGCTGGAACCCGAACGCGGAGCTGCAGGCGGCAGGTGCGGGAACGGGAGAAGCTATGGCCTCGCCCAGGACGGCTGCTCAGAGCGACACGAGCAACCGCCAGGAGCTCCGCACGCAGCTGGAAGAACTCAGTAACGTACTCCGCTGTGGGAGACATGGAGGTAATAAAAGTCTGATGTAGAAGTACTCGCAGAGAACCATGCTCCTTGGTCAATCTCAGATTATTATTATCAGACCTACCCTAATGATGTTAGTCTTCCAAATAAAGTGAGTGACTGAACTGTCAAATCAGCAAGATCAGGATATTGAAAGTCCTGCTTTGAATTCTAACGACCAGTTATAAGTAGAAAATGACACTCACCCTGGTACTGATAGGACAGCAAATGTTAAGTGTAGACAAGAGGGTCATCTGCCTCCAATTCACAGGAGCCAGCATCTGCATTAGCAGCACAAGATACGTCCTTAGAAGGTTCGTCATTAGCTGGAAGTTTGAGAGCTGCAGCAGAAGCGGCTTTGTCACAGACTGGATTTAGTGATGATGAAAATACTGGACTGTATTTTGACCACAGCACTGGTTTCTATTAAGATTCTGAGAATCAAATATATTATGATTTAATTTATTACCACTGTGATGTGGAAAGTGGTCGCTATCGATTTCATTCTCGAGTAGATTTGCAACCTTATCAGACTTATAGCACGAAACAAAAACGAAAAATTGAGAAAAGAAAGGATTCTTCTACAAAAAAACGATGAGGAAAAGGATTTGAATTCAGAGGATCAAGAAGCCTTCAGTGTTGAACATACAAGCTGCAACGGGAAAGACAATTTCACAAATGTGAAAAAAAAAAGCCAAAATAGGCATTCATCACAAAAATAATCCCCAAAATTCACTGTTCCAGTTAGTGGAAATCCTATGGAATCTCCTTTTAATGAAAACATCTCAATTCATCTTTAAGGATGAGAAAATCACAGAGACTGATAGTGAACCAGAAGAAGGTGAAATTACAGACTCTCAGACCGAGGGTAGTTATGATGAAGGCATTACCAGTAAAGGCAATGCAACTGCAAAAGATACTGAGGAGGAAGATGAGGAAAAAGTGTGGCCTCATATATGAGAGTGATTGTCATTAGATCACCTGTGCTACAGACAGGATCATTCTTCATCATTACTGCTGCAAAACCTGCTACAATTGGAAGAGAAAATGATATGGAGCATACTCTTCAAATCCCTGAAGTTGGTGTAAGTTTCATGCAGAAATCTATTTTGATCTTGACTTACAAAGTTATGTCCTTTTGGATCAGACAGTCAAAATGGAACAATTGTTAATGTAAAATGGATTGTTCAGCTGAAAACTAAATGTGACCCTTATGAACCTGAGCATGGAGATAAAGTGAAAGTTGGAGACACTGTGTTATCTTATTACATTCACCCTGGCAGTAATAGCTGTGTTGGATGTGAACCAGGGCAGGTTAGAGCTCACCTTTTCCTTGACAAGAAAGATGAATCATTTGTTGGTCCATCATTAACTAAGAAGGAAACGAGTTGGAAAGAAGAAAAGGATTTTAAAAATATACGAGTAAAATATGGTTTACAGAATACAGACTACAAAGATGATAAGATACTGGAGAATCAAAAATATAAAGATAGAGCTGGAAAACATAGGGAGCAGATTGGAAGTGAAGGAAATTTCCAAAGAGATGATGCTCCTGCATCTGTTCATTCTGAAATTACTGATAGCGACAAAGGTCAGAAGATGTTGAAAAAGATGTGTTGAAAACAGGAGAAGGCCTGGGGAAGGATGGTGGGAGAATAAAAACTCCAGTACAGCTTCAGCCTTGGCAAACACATGCAGGATTGGAGACAGACAAACCATCCTCAATTAAAGAGACTCACCTTCTCCAAAACAAGAACAACAACAACTGGGACAAAGCTCAGGAGAGGTTTGCCGAAAACTTTCCAGAAACTAAACTTCCAAAAGATGACCTAGGAACCATTCCTTGGGTAAAAGGGACTGAGGAGTGAAGGTTAATCACAGAAGAAAACTCAAGCTTTTTTATAAATAGAGTTTGGAAACTCTTATTTTATTGCAGAATGTTTCTCCCCAAAAAAGTCAGTGGCATGAGAAAGCTGTGTCACAGTTTACCCCTTCCTGATTCAGAAATGTGTAATAAAATGTGGTTTGCAGTTTTTAAAAAACACTTTTTAAATTAATTATTAGTGACTGAATTAAGTTATACAGTAAGTGAACTAAAGTTCACAGGGCACAGATAAGTTTACCAAACTTTACTATTTTATCTTGTCATTTACAACATCCATATAAGCAATTAGCCATATAAGCAAAATTCATATAACCACTTAAATGCTCATTTGTCCTTGTCTCCATATATTCATAGTAGTATGCACAGAAAATACAGCAAAAGAAACATCTAAAATCTATAAAAATAAATCTGACAATATACATTCTTTTTTATGTCCTTCAGGACCTAGATAAAAAATGTTGAGACAACATAAATAGTGATGCATACATTTTCTTATATTTGGAATAGCCTAAATCATATTAAAGAACTAATGAACAGGTGACATGTCACAGAAAATTCGTCTTTTATTGTTTTCTTAGGTGAAGAATCTGCATTTGTTGATATATACTGTACATTCAGCATTTGTATTTGGTTTGTTTCATAGCTAATGAAATGTTTATACATGAAAAAATGAGTACAGTATTGAAATAGTCCATGTGCTGGCATTCATACTTTTTATAAATACCATTGCAGGCAATGAAGTTGTGCCAGAAAAATCTGATTTTGAGTACAAAAGGAATACTTAGCCAGGGCCTTGAGCTCAATATATTTATTGAAAATGTCCTAAATTGCCATAAAACATTATAACATTAAATTACTCATTTCAATAAATTATGAATTAAGCAGAAAGTACGAATGATGTCTTTTATGGATCAGGGAAGTGCTAATGAGACAGAATGGCCATTGAAGCCAAAAGGTCTGAATTCAGGTAGATAATTTTACTCATATTAGTTTTAGGTTAGAGAAAACAATACTTCTGACCATATACTATTTATTGCAGTGGAGTATTTCAAAAATATGTACATAATATATAATTAATTTTCTAATGGTATAAAAGTAATCACACTCTACAAATTATTACAATATGGTCTATTGATGAGAGGGGTGTTTCAAATGAAAAAAACTTGGAATTTCTCATGGTGATAGATGCCATAGAAAATCTATGTAAAATATTTCACTCATATATGCAATTATTGATATTTCTGCTTTTCAGAAAAATAATATACTTTAAACACTTAATGCAGACAATTAAAATCACCAAGAAGTTACAAGAATTCACAGAATGCCTAATATAGTTGAAAGGAAATTAAGAAAACCTCCCAGGACTGGAAGTAAATAAAGGTAATGATCCAGAGAAGTAATCAACCTAAGAGACCAGGGCTCCACTCAGATGTGCCTGATTACAAGAATGTCAGGTCCGTGTGGGTTGTTCCCTTCTGACAAGGCAAATGGAATAAACAAAGAGAAACTGCCTGCAGGCATTGGAATGCGGTGTCTCCCATATGTGAGGATTAAATTATAAATTATGTCGCACACAAGGAGATGAGCTACTGGGGTGAAGCATCAGAAGAAATTATATGGCACATAAATCTCAGATATTGAATTTATATTTAAATGTTTAAGTCAATATAATGGAAAAACAAGAAACCAAAATAATGTGGAAAGAAACTACGAGCTTGTCAAGCTATCTTTGGAAAAGAGGCAAATGAAAAGAAAGTATTGAAAGGGTTGTAAAACAATTTAATGTACAACATACAAATTACATATTAAAATAGGCTGAGCCAAAAAGAGGGCTAGTAAAGTGAAATGCTGATCACAATTAATGTAGTCATATATGTTATAGAAGGCAAATTAATAGAAAATATAAATATATTTATATATGAAGATTAGATTGAGAAGAAATAAAAAGCATTTAATTGTTTTACCAGACTCTAAATAGGAAGGCAACAAAGAATCAGTGACTTGTAAGTTTCAGAAATTGGAAACCAGACATGAAACCTTTAAAAGTTTAGGGTGTAATATATGAAAAAAAGGTAAATTTAGAAATACTTAGAAGAAATAGTGGTTTGGGTTATTTTGAATACTGCTTAATAAACATGAGAGTGCAGTTATCTTTTTTGACATGCTTATTTTGTTTCCTTTTGATATAAACCCAGCAATGAGATTGCTGCATCATATGGTAGTTCTATTTATAATTTCCCCACATTTCTGTATCCCGAGATCATGGTCATTTTCTTGACTATCTATTCTGATCTATTCTGCCTCAGTTTCCCCCTAAGAGATCTTAGGGTCATAATCATATTGGAGGTTGAGGGGCTAGGTCACTTTTTCTGGAGCTGTTTCCTGCTGAGTGGGTGTTATTTCTACCTAGTCTGGGCCCTAAAGTTTCTTCCTGTGTGATCTAACTGGGTGTAAACCATGTAATTCGTGGAACCAGTGGGCAAGATGTTGGCAGCCAAATGTTGAAAGCCTTGCAAAACCATCATGCAAACATGGAGTTGCCGTAAGCAAGAGAGCAAGAAATCAGTTAACATTTTAAACAAAATTGGAACAAAAGTAAAAGCTGAAAGTATAGTAATGGCTGTTACTATTAAAGAGAGTAAGGCAGGTAATAGACATTGCTTTCATGGTCCCATGGAAGTTCATAGAGATTCAATTTTGTCTGCCTGGGTGATGATATTTTTAATATTTTCTTGGACTAAACCGGGCTGATTGATCTCAAAAACAGCATTCTTCTTTTAGATATAAACATGTTCCTCTTTGCCCGGCTGGGAGAAGATCCCAGGCTTTTTGCTTTTGTCGGACTACAGTGGCCATGGAGTCCAGACATTGTTGAAGTCTATTGAGGCCCTCTGCTGCTTGTTGCAGACCCATTGAGGTTTTCTGAGATAGTTTATACTGGATTCCCAAGGCTCCACCTTATGGTGACATTTATGCTGCAAAAGTATTTTGCATTAAAATGGTGAAAGCAACAAACGTTTTAAGTATTTTCTATTTTTTGCTAATAAGCAAAATTTTGTGCAGCTAAGTTGGCAGCAGTCATTCGGTCCATTTATGGACGGTACAGTTGAATGGTGGTCAAAGTTAGAGCCTGGAAGCCTTCAGTAAATGCGCTGAAGTTGTCTGAGGGCCATCAGAGTTGTTGCTTATATTGGATTAGATTATTTATTGAGAGTAGAACAAGCACTCTGATGGTCCTCTCTCCATTTGGGACTTTCTGTAAGGGGAGAAATTTCTCTGGCCCTGGATGGTGTGAAGTCCCACTGTGAGTAACTGCAGCTGGGCTGGTCTCTATTGTACCTGGCAAAGGCCGATAGAAAGGAGCATAAGGAGGAGGTGAAACAAGCTTAGATTCTACAGAAGACTCTGATAGTGTGGGGATGCTGGGGATTCTAAAGGAGGTGTGGACCCCTGAGTGCCCCTGTCTGGAGCTGGTGTTGGGCTGTGGGGTCTGGGGTCCCTTCCCCTTAATAAGAGATGATCTTCCAATTGTTCTGAGGGGCTTTCTGGCTTACTAGGCTTTAGCCCACAGGTGCTGCGTAGAGCTGGATTTTGTTGTCAGGCCAGAACGGCTTGCACATAGGGTACTTCAGACCATTTTCCCTGATTGCTACAGAAAAGATCTAGCTGTAGGATGGAGTTAAAGCTCACAGTCTCATTCTCCAGCCATGTTTTGTCAGCTAATCTGTAGGCAGGCTAAATAGTATTACAAAAGAAGATAAGGTTTTCTTTTTTCTAAGTTCATTTAGCCAAAAGCTGTTCTAATTTTTAGATATACATCCCAGGGGTGTTTCAGTGACAGTAGAGGAAGCGGCTCCCATGGTGCCGAGAGAATCCTGCAATGACAGAACATTTACTGAAGTCCAGGAGGCTGTGGGCGTCCTCATGAGCCAAGTGAAAACACCAAGGGGTCCAGCGCATCCCCTCGAAACCCCATTAACTGAAGCTCTAGGAGGTCATAGGCATTTGCCATACACCGTCCTAGCTCCCCCAGCGGTGGACATCTCCAGCCCTACGGAGATGACCCCCACTGCGGGCTGGGGGGCAGATGTCTGGCTGACAAGCCTTGCTCTAATTCACTGGTTTGCCATTTGTGATGCCCAGTTACAACACCTGGAATGCTCAGATGCAATCCCTACGACTTGGCATCTGCTTGACTGTGCATCTTTTGTTCAGCAAAGAAAGCCGGTTGAAGAACAATTTCAAGGAGCTGGGAAATGCATAAAGCCTGAAGGGACAGTGTTCTCTTAATGTGCTGCTCAAAACAAAACAAAAATTTTGTAAACAGAAAACCTGACCAGAAAATAAATTACAATAGCCACTAGGTGGCGATCGAGTATTGCTGAACGGACAGCAAACGACAAGCTGAGTCTAAACTGTGGCCAGAAAGATGTGAAACTGAGCGGCAAATAGCCCAAATATGAAATGTTGAGGGCAACCCATGTGGTTAGCGTATTTATCGATACTACAGAAGCCGCAGAGAAAAGGAGAGCGGACATATATTCTCTCTCTAAAGAATGCGGGTGACTTAAAAACGTTTCCCCCAGAACTTTACTGGAACAGCGCTGGAACCAGCAGCGATAGTTAACCAGGTAGTCTGAAACTGCCATAGTATTCACTGCAAGTAAAGGGAAACTGAAATTAATGAAGCAGACAAACGTCTCCGCAGGTCATGGCACCAGAAATGTTGATGGCTGATGTAATACCTTGGTTCTTATCTTCTTAGTTTAAAATAATTTAAACAAGAGACACACAGCAAAAGAAGTACAGCATAATTTATTGCAAAAAAAAGAATATTTTGAAAATTAAGTGCAGAATAGACGGTACAGTCTGAGAAAGAGATTCCAGGGCAGCCTGCTCATAAAAGTGAGACAGCATTAATTATTGCTGGAGAAACCCTCTTTATGGGAGTTTTGCATGATTATTTCATAAGAAGGTGGAAAGAAGTGTTACGGTAAGCATGTTCTGACTGGTCTTCTGGTTATACATGTGCAGTAGCTGTACATATTTGTGCATACATTGCATGCCTCACTAGCATCTTAAATCTCCACCCAGGAATGTGTTTTTTACTATTAAAATGAACAAAGGGTCAGCTTGAGGACACATAAAATCAAAATGCACATGCTCTGTAGAATTAAAAGTCCCTACTGAAGATAGCGGGTTTCAAATGACCCCAAGTGCTCCACGTCTTAAAAGTTCCTCCGGTAAAGCTGGAACACTATCTGTTCCTGAGGTATCAGGTCCCATTTGTGGCTCTGAGCCACTGGCAAGCCAGGCCTGACTTGAGATGAGACCAATGATTTCAAGTGTAAAATGCCTAAATACTCAGTAGCTTCAGGTTGCATTTTGGAGCTTGTCCACTTAAGTGGGTTGATGAAAATGGCTCACAAGACTCACGCCTCAGAAATGGGGTTTTTTCCTTTGCTCTTAGCAGATTTTATGCAACCCAATAATTAACCTTTCTGATGCCTAGACTTTCACATTCGTGAAAAAGGCGCCATTGAAAGTGACCTTTCCAAGAAGCCACAGCCCTTGTCACCCCTGCAGAGCTCTGAAGCTGCTCACAAGCAGGCCAGGTGGAAGATTTCTCTCAAAAACGGTTGAGTGCGTGCTCTGGCTAGAGAAAAAAGAGGGCTGCGGCACAATGACAGTGTCTTGGACATCAGGAAAGTTCTCACGCAGTTTAGGAAAGAAGGCAGCACCCTGGGCTGCAGAAGACGTACTCCTCTGGAAAGAACCCTGGGTGCAACTGAAAGAGGAACCTGAGAAGGATAGGGCCAAGCGGGTGAGGACAACCCGCCCGATTTGGGAAAAGGTAAGGTATCTTTGTAGGGTAATACCCTCCTCACTGCTCAGCCCAGACCTGCCCTCCAGGTGCACCTCTGTACTCACTCTCCTTGCAAAGAGTCGGCATAGCATCAGAACTCAGCAGTGCTTTGGACACCGGGAAGTCCACACCGCTCTGCCCCTCCCTCCAGGGCTATGGACCCCGGATCCCGGTACATGCTGGGATTATAGCTCTGAAGCTTACCGACAAACAGGCTGAGAGTAGGTAACGGACTACAGCTCCCAGCATATTAGGTGGGGCGGGTACCACTCTGCCCCTTCTTCCAGGGCTGCGCCTCGCCCTGGAGCCTGGTGCATGCTGGGATTGTAGTCCTGTAGCCCTTTGACCAAAGGGTTGGGAGTGTTTATGAGAATGCATCTTCCAACAATCCTAGGGAGGCGCGCACAGCCCTGCCTCTTCCTCCGGTGACGCGCACTTTCCCGGAGCCCGGTGCATGCTAGGATTGTAGTGCTGCAGCCCTGTGACCAAAGGGCTGGGAGTGTTTATGAGACTGCATCTCCCAGCAAGACCAGCGAGAGGCGCGGAGCCTCGTCCCTTCCTCCAGTGATTAGCGCACTCTCCCTGAGCCTGGTGCATGCTGGGATTGCAGTGCTGCAGCCCTGTGACCAAAGAGCTTTGTTATAGTTATCTGTGAAGTGTTCAACAAACTACTTTACTTCATTATTACTGGAAGCCAGAAGCTCAGTTGTGTTCACTTTTTGGATTTTATAACAGTGAGATTGTGTAATATGTATACTTTTACATCTACTTTCTTCTATGCAACATTATATTTATGATATTAATTCATGATATTGCAGATAGCTATAGTTTATTTTAAAATTATTTTTTACATTGTGGTAAAGTATACATAAAATTAACCATTTTAGCTATTTTAAGTGTGCAGCTCAGAAAAATTAACTACTTTCACATTGTTTTGCAACTGTCATTACCACTCATAGGGACCTTCTTTCAACTTGCAGAAACAAAACTCTATACCCATTAAATAAGCTCCTTGTTACTCCCCCTCTAGCTCCTAAGAACTACTCTTCTATTTGGGTTTCTAGAATTTAACTACTCTAAGTATCTCATAAGTGGAATGATTCAGTATTTGTCCTTTTATGACTGGCTCATGTCACTTTGCACAATGTCCTTAAGGTTCATGCATGACGTACCATGTGTCAGAATTTCCTTATTTTACATAACTGAATAACATTCCACTCTATGTATAAATCACATTTTATCTATTAATCATTGATGGTAATTCAAACAACACTTGAGTAATTCAAACACCTTTTTGGTGATGTGAGTAATGCTGCTATGAACCTAGGTGTATGTATATTATTTTGTGTCTTTGCTTTCATATCTTTTGCTGCATACCCAGATGTGAAATTGCTGGATCGTATGGTGATTTTATGTGTAAATTTTTTAGTTACTGTGTTGTTATTTTATAGCAGCTGCAGCATTTTACATTTCCACCAACAGTGTACAAGGATTCTAATTGCTCCACGTCCTCACCAACACTTCGGATTTTCTGTTTTTTTTTTTCTTTTGGTAGTAGCTATGCTGATGGGTATTAAGTGATATGTCATTTGGGGTTAGATTTGCATTTCACTAATGATGAGTTTTGTTGAGTGTCTTTTCATGTGCTTATTAGCTACTTTACATAATTTTTAGAGAAATGTCTGCTTAAGTTTTTGCCAATATTTTAAACAAGTAGTTTGTTTTATTGTTGCTGAATTGTTCTTTGCATATTCTGGATAGATTCCTATTCGTCTATTTTTCTTTTGTTTCTTGTGTTGTGGGTGTCCTGTTTAAAAAAAAAAAACTGCCAAATCCAGTGTTATGACGTGTTTCCCCTATATTTTATTCTAAGAATTTTGTAGTTTTAGCTCTTACATTTAGGTATTTGATCCAGTTAGTTAATTTTTTCTTACAGTATAAGTGAAGGGCACAGGTTCATTCTTTTACATGTGGGTACCTAATTTCCCCAGCACCAGTTGTTGTGAAGACAGTTCTTGGCTGGGCACGATGGCTCACACCTGTAATCCCAGCACTTTGGGAGGCCGAGGCGGGCGGATCACAAGGTCAGGAGATCAAGACCATCCTGGCTAGCAAGGTGTCCGCTCTGCTCCTGATCCAGCGAGGCATCCATTGCCACTCCCGATCGGGCTGAAGGCTTGCCATTGTTCCTGCACAGCTAAGCGCCTGGGTTCATCCTAATCAAGCTGAACACTAGTCACTGGGTTCCACGGTTCTCTTCCGTGACCCACAGCTTCTAATAGAGCTATAACACTCACCGCATGGCTCAAGATTCCATTCCTTGGAATCCGTGAGGCCAAGAGCCCCAGGTCAGAGAACAGGAGGCTTGCCACCATCTTGGAAGTGGCCTGCCAAAATTATGGAAGTGGCCCGCCACCATCTTGGGCGCTCTGGGAGCAAAGACCACCCCATGGTAACAGCACCTTAACTGTGTGTCCCCAAGGACCTACAGATCACAGGGCAACAGGGGCTGTGAGGGAGTTGTCTGGATTTCCCAAGGTGGAGGAGGCGAAAGAGGAGATGGATCCCAAGCTCCTGCACCAGCACCAGCGAGAGACAAAGGCCCCGCCAAACGCCGGAAGCCACGCCCTCCTCTCTTCTCAAACTGTGCGCCCGATTGGGTGGTTCCCACACCAGCGCCACTGATTGAATAAAACGCCAGGACCCACCCATCCGCACCCCACCCCGGCCCCTGCCCCACTCACCCTGAGCGTTAGTGCATTTTTGTTTGTTTCTTTGTTTTACTTTAAGTTTTGGGATACATGTGCAGAACGTGCAGGTTTGTTACAGAGGTTTACATGTGCCATGGTGGTTTTCTGCACCTGTCAACCTGCCATTTAGGTTTTAAGCCCCACGTGCATTAGATATTTGTCCTAATGCTCTCCCTCCCCTTGACCCCAACCCCCTAACAGGCCCCAGCGTGTGATGTTTCCTTCCGGTGTACATCTGTTCTCATTGTTCAACTCCCACATATGAGTGAGAACATATGGTGTTTGGTTTCCTGTTCCCTGTGTTAGTTTGCTGAGGATAATGGTTTCCAGCTTCACTCACGTCCCTGCAAAGGACATGAACTTATTCTTTTTTATGGCTGCATAGTATTCCATGGTGTATATGTGCCACATTTTCTTTTTCCAGTCTATCATTGATGGGCATTTGGGTTGGTTCCAAGTCTTTGCTATTGTAAACAGTGCTGCAATAAACGTAAATGTGCATGTGTCTTTATAGTAGAATGATTTATATTCCTTTGGATATATACCCAGTAATGGGATTGCTGGGTCAAATGGTATTTCTGCTTGTAGATCCTTGAGGAATCACCACACTGTCTTCCACAATGGTTGAACTAATTTACCCTCCCTCCAGCAGTGTAAAAACGTTTCTGTTTCTCCACAGCCTCACCAGCATCTGTTGTTTCCTGACTTTTTAATAATTGCCATTCCAACTGGTGTGAGATGGTATCTCATTGTGGTTTTGATTTGCCTTTCTCTAATAACCAGTGATGATGAGATTTTTTAAAATATTTTTTGGCCACATAAATGTCTTCTTCTTCTCCTTCTTCTCCTTCTTCTTCTTCTTCTTTGAGACGAAGTCTTGCTCTGTCACCCAGGCTGGAATGCAGTGGCAGGATCTTGGCTCACTGCAACATCTGTTTCCCGGGTTCAAGTGATTCTCCTGCTTCAGCCTCCCAAGAAGCTGGGATTACAGGCACCTGCCAATATGTCTGGCTAATTTTTTGTGTTTTCAGTAGAGACAAGATTTCAGCATGTTGGCCAGGCTGGTCTCAAACTCCTGACCTCATGATCCACCTGCCTCCACGTTCCAAAGTGCTGGGATTACAGGTGTGAGCCACCACACTCAGTCAAATATCTTCTTTTGAGAAGAGTCTGTTCATATCCTCTGCCCACTTTTTGATGGTTTTTTTTTTCTTGTGAATTCATTTGAGTTCCTTGTAGATTCCAGATGTTAGACCTTTGTCAGATGGATAGATTGCAAAAATTTTCTCATTCTGTAGGTTGCCTTTCACTCTGATGATAGCTTCTTTTGCTGTGCAGAAGCTCTTTAATTAGATCTCATTTGTCAATTTTGGCTTTTGTTGCAATTGCTTTTGGTATTTTAGTCATGAAGTCTTTGCTCATACCTATGTCCTGAATGGTATTGCCTAGGTTTTCTTCTAGGGTTTTTATGGTTTGGGGTTTTACATTTAAGACTTTAATCCATCTTGAGATAATGTTTAAGGTGTAAGGAAGGGGTGCAGTTTCTGTTTTCTGCATATGGCTAGCCAGTTTTTTCAGCACCATTTGTTAAATAGAAAATCTTTCCCCATTGCTTGTTTTTGTCAGGCTTGTCGAAGATCAGATGGTTGTAGATGTGTGGTGTTATTTCTGAGGTCTTTGTTCTGTTCCATTGGTCTATATATCTGTTTTGGTACCAGTACCGTGGTGTTTTGGTTACTGTAGCCTTGAAGTATAGTTTGAAGTCTGGTAGCATGATGCCTCCAGCTACCAGTTGTTTTTGCTTAGGATTGTCTTGGGTGGACAGGCAAACAGGCTCGAATAGTTGGGGTCACATGCGCAGAGTATCACAGCTAATTAAGAAGTGAGCTGAGACTTGAAATGCGCATGCTCTTTCCCTTACCAGGATCTGTTGAGTCATGCATCTTAGCAGCTATTTAAGGGTAGGAAGTAGAACATTTGGACATCTTTTCAACAACTTATTAGGCATTTTCATAATGCAGGAAAGACCCTCATCCCATCCCTGAGCCCCTCTCTCACCACGCTGCACCTCACTGCTGACCACATTGTGGGGTGGCCATTATCAGGCGGGCCAGAATCAGGCCAGAATAAGGCGGGCAGCGGGGGCTGGGAATAAATAAGCAAGAATGATGTTGCCCATATTTGCTCATCTTAGAAAGGCTCCACAACCATTCTGTGTGAAGTGATTATTCCAGGGTAATTGTGCCCTGACTGTGCTGCATGTCAGTCTGACTTGTCTTTCTGAAAATCACTGGATTACTCTCATTAATGGGGGTATTTCTGTTTCTATTTGAAAATGGCCAACTGTCCTCTGCAGGTGTCCTGATTTTGCCTGCTAGTTTAGACCCTGAAGGTAGCAGTGAGAAAATGTTTTGGCCACATCAGAATACCTATTCTCAGCTGGAGTAGATATAGAAATTTCTTAATAATATCTAACCGTTTTCTCAATAACCATTATATTTAACGGTGATAACTGGAGGGCAGAGAGGGACACAGATGACACAATCTTCGAAGTTTAATTTGGTTATAAGGTTTTTTGTTCTTGTTTTGTTTTGCTTTATTTTTGGATACAAGGTCTTGCTCTGGTGCCCAGGCTGGAGGGCAGTGGCACAATCATAACTCATAATTTGGTTGTAACTGTTCTTTAAAAAATATTTTTGGCTGAGTTTGGTAGCTCACACCTGTAATGTAAACAATTTGGGAGGCCAAGGTGGGATGATCGCTGGATCCTATGAGTTCAAGACCAGTTTGGGCAACATAAGTAGGCTCAGTTTCTACAAAAAATTTTTTTTAATTGGCTGGGTGTAGCATTGCATGCCTGTAGTGTAGTCCTCGCTATTTGAGAAGCTGATGTGAAAGGATCACTCGAGCCTAAGAGTTTGAGGCTGCACTGACCCATGATTCAGCCACTGCACTGACAGACAGATGTGTGTGTGTGTGTGTGTGTGTGTGTGTGTGTGTGTGTGTGTGTGTATAAACAATATGGATGTGAAAAAAATTCAAGCCCGGGAGAAAAGTGAAAGCCCATGGTGGGGGATGTGGAGAAAGGTGAGTGCGGCTCCAGCAACTCAGTGAAACTTGGTTTTCCATCTTGAAGAATTGCCCATACACACTGAAACCATAGCCTAGCACATGCCAGTTATCACACTACACCTGCTGGGATACGACTATGTACCCTTTTTAAAAAAATAAAATCTTTCACCTAAGAGAAGCAGAAGAGAAAAGGAGTGTTTCACATCTAAAGCCTTCATTTTATGAAACAACAGCCACTTGTCATTTGAGTTGTCCAAAGGCGACTGACAGCACTAATACACTTAATGAATCAACCAGGAGAAATGGGCCTCTCGGGTGAGGAGGAGGCACAATAGTAACTAAACCAATCCATTCTCAGCTTTACATGGTGCCCGTATCTCAAGAAGTGGTGTTAGCCATGTGAACCGTTTTCACTGGACAAGGCCAGAAGAAAGAACATTTAGTACAACACAACCATGAGGCTGCAAATCAAACTGGTAGTGGGAGCATGCACAAGGCTTCAGTGGCTGAGACACTGGTGGCTACCCTTGGGTGTCACTTAAAACTTCAAGGTGAAGGACATTTTTTTTCCAGTTGGCTCAGGGAAACTAATAAACATTAGAATTGAAATTTGTTTTTCTTTTCAAAATTTCTAAGACATAGAGGACTCTCTAAACACTCCAAAAGACATTCAGATATACATGCAGCTGAGGACCTGCCTGCTCTGCAGAGGGATGGCTGAGCAGCAGCCACCAGCTGTAATAACTTTAAACTTCTCCTCTCACAGGGACAGGCCACTCCCACACACACTGCTTACTTCATAGGCTGTGGCCCTCAGATGCACCTGGGGGACTGCTTTCCTCCCATTTCATTAGCTCTCCAAGACAGTCCATCTCACTCTAAAACCTACACTAGGATGGTGAGTTGTAGACTCTCCTCCATTCTCCCAGTGCAGTGTGACTTCCAGAGAGTGCTCCCCCATCCTCTTACCTCAACTGATGTGAAAAGGGCCAGTGCCTGGGCAGTTAGATGTTCAGTCACCTCACAGGTCCAGCATGCCCAGGGCCTGGCCCCACAGCCTGGCACCTCTCCCCTACCTGGCCTTCATGCCAGCCTTTTCTCTTCTGTCACCAATGTCAAGTGACATTCACCTGTGCCACACTCTTATGAGTGTGGTAAGTGATGGGTGGGTAAACCCCAGCTGAGTGCCTGTGACTCTACCCTCTTACCTTTCACTCAAGTGACATTATAAGCATAATTTTACATTTGATTTAATTTATGCATAATCTTTTCTTATAACATTTCTGACAATAGCCCTCACAACCAAAGGAGACTGGGTTACAGAACACATGGGCAAGGCTGGGGTAGCAGGTTTCACTTACTTTATTCCAATGTGAAATGAAGATGTGATGGTTTAAAACCAAGACAAAGTTGTTTATCAGCTGTGGGGTTGCTACACTTGCTAGCTCATGCTCACTTCCTTTGAAACAAGGAATCTGGAGAGACTATATTCATAAGTAGCTCTTTGCAAACCCCCAGGCAGAAGCCCCAGTCAGACGCAGCTCCCTCAGGCTCTCAGGGCGGCAACTTCCTCCTCCATGTTGGGCTCTGCCATCAGGCAAGGGAAGAGCTCCCTCAGGCTCCCAGGGCTGCAACCTCCTCCTCCATGTTGGGCTCTGCCAGCAGGCAAGGGAAGAGCTCCCTCAGGCTCCCAGGGCTGCAGCCTCCTCCTCCATGTTGGGCTCTGCCAGCAGCCAAGGGAAGAGCTCCCTCAGGCTCCCAGGGCTGCAACCTCCTCCTTCATGTTGGGCTCTGCCAGCAGCCAAGGGAAGCAGCACAGGCAGCGGGGGACAGGAAGCCACCCGGGGCCATAGGGATCCCCAAACGCCCCAGAGCTATTCTCTGTAGAAAGGGCGGTGTGGCAAGGACCAGGTATGGAGCTGGGTTCCACAGAGAGGTGACAGCCACTTCTGTATCTCTAAATTTCCCCCGGGATCCATGATCCAGCCCTGCTTTCCCCCAGGCCCTTCACCCACCCTGCCCCCACTGTGTGTTAGGCAGCTCGGGTTAAAATGGGAGAAAAATATAT
Organism: Homo sapiens; assembly: GCF_000001405.40. Taxonomy (NCBI): domain Eukaryota; kingdom Metazoa; phylum Chordata; class Mammalia; order Primates; family Hominidae; genus Homo; species Homo sapiens. The sequence continues at coordinate 149,944 of NW_015495300.1, forward strand.
TCAGATTGTAGCCTCCAAGTTTTCCCATCTGGGCTGCAGAGAGTAGAGAAGGAAGTCGGGGCCTGTGGCGGTGCCTTTTGCTGTGCCTGAGGGCAGGAAGGCCAGGGCTGGGCACATGGATGTCTCCGGGACCACCACTGCTGACTCCCTCCCCTCACCTGAAGCTACAACCAGCCCAGGCTATCACGATTAATAAAACCACTGCAGCTCTCATCCTGTCACAAAACTAATGTGCACCCAACTGCAGCCCTACACAGATCCCTGGCTTCCTATCCCAGAACACAGAAAATCCTCTTATCTTTTTTACTTAAAACCTGGACTTTAAGCCAGATTGGGCCTGGGGATAGAGGCAGCAAAAGCAACAGCCAGATGTATACACTCCAGATGTATACACTCAAGGGCATGGGCACATTCCACACTTGCTGAAGAATGAGAGGCCTGAGAGACACCTGTTTCCCAGCTGCTAGCTGATGTCTACACACCCCATTCATGTGTCTTCATTTAGGCCTCTGCATCATGTATTTGTTCAGCCAGTGCAAACACATCTTCTGGGGGGCATCATTGATTGCAGCACCAGCCCCACTTGTTTCGGGAGGGAGTCAGGAGGAATCTGGTCAGCTCCTAATCCCCCAGGACAAAGGTGCTGCCCCCTTTTCAGCACTCACATCCAGCAGCACCATCTTGGGATGGTTTTTCAAACACAAGTAGCATGAGGTAGCAAGCATGGTGTGACAGGCTCAGGGCCATAGGCAGCCGGCTGCTGGAGAAGCAGCACAGGGCAGGCACATCTGTGGGTGGCACCCTGACAAGCCAAGGCAGCCACAGCCCCTACCCCCAACAGCCCCAGCCCAGATGGCATTCAGATCTTCCCGGATAGTATTGGGGTTCCCGATGCCCATCACTCCCCTGCTTATTAGCACTGCCTTGTGTTGGTTACTCAGGGACTAAGGAGAGGGGGTGGGGGATGTAGATCCAGGGTGGGCACTGCCTCACAGCCAGAGTCCACCTGACTGCAGGCCAGCAAGCAAGCCCAGCAGCTCAGCTCTAGACACTTAGCCTCACCACCTCTGGCTGCACTTTCTACGTATACTTTATGCAAAGGTAGAAAAAGAGGTCAGTATTAGCTGTTGTGACATAAAAGTCTATGCCCCATTAAGACCTTCTTAAAATGCTGTTGCCTTAAGCCCTCTTTCTTCTAATAAAATTTATACAAATACACACATACAAGCTGAAACTACTATAAATGAAATATTAGGATTTTTTAAACCCATAGACAAACACTAAAACAGTCACTGTTTGAATGCAGAGAAAGTGGGAGTCTAAAGCAGCTGACCCCAAAACAGCCTTACCAAGCCCAAGGCCAGGCCAGGCAGTCTGAACACTACAAGGTCACGTGATGGTCACAGAGGATGACAGCTCCCATGAGTATTCTCAGGCACTGTGTTAGCTTCTCACTCACAGAGTCTCAGAATGCCTCCTCACCAATACCCTGTGAGGGAAGGCCCCACCTCACTACAGCACGAGAGGTTCCTGAGCTCTTCCCAGAAAATGGTTATCAAAGGGTGGAGCTGGGGGAAGCCCAGACAGAACAAGTGAGTCCCCAGGGTCTCCTTAACCTCCCTCAGCTCCTCCACATGGGGCCCTGAGGGAAAGTGAGCGGCCTCCTAACCCCTTTGATAGGGTTCCAGTACTGCAGGTCTGGACCTCCTCATTTTCTGGAACCACAGGAGGTGACAATGCAAACCCAGGCCCCTTATTTGCCGTCCCTCAATGCCAGGCCAGGCCCAGAGCCCTGTGCTGACACAGCCCAGGGGATGCTCGAGGCCCACCTCAGCACAGTCACCAATAGCGTAGTGAGATGAGCAAGGAGGTGCAAGTAGGCACAAATCCCCATGGACATGGCCTCAGGCATGTTCCACAGGCTCAGGGTCTCCCTGATGAGCTCACAGCCCTCCTTCAGGGGTCCTGCAGAGCACACACCCAGGGAGCAGTGCTCAGATGAGCAGGCAGGCCCCAGATTCCCCACCCCAGGATGATCTGTTCCACTTTGCAGGGCTGCTGCATTGGCCAGTCCCCACTGCTTTCTGGTGGGATGTTTGAGTTGAAGTGAATGTTGAAGGGCATAGAGCTGATGGGGCTGACTGCCTTGCAGATGTTGTAAATCACCTCCTGGCTCCACGGGTCAGCTGTGGAGACACAGCTTGATGGGAGGTAGCCCCACTCCACCATCAGTGGTGCTGGGCTGCCCTGATCTGCACCTTCCAGCTCCTTGCTGAGATGTCTGCATGTTTCTCTAAGGGACTGGGTCACGAGACACCCCTGGCAAGGCCCAGCTGGCAGAATAGGCTGGACACTCTCCCTCAGCCTCCCCAGCAGCCCGGGCTGTGCTGTCACCTGTGCTGATGATCTCACTTCTCTATCTTAATAACAGCACTGATAACTTTTAAGCCCTAGCAAGCTGAAACTGCAAGACAAATGATCTTCTGCCTTAGAAGGGCTATGGCTGGGCAGTGTGTGCCCAGGTGAGAGCCCTGTGGTTGTTAGTGGAAGTAGGGAGCTGGATGGGCCTGGCCCCATAGCCTAGTGAAAACTAGGGCCCTCTCCTTCCAGAGCATCAAAGTCTTAGAGGCTGGAAAAAGGTGCTTGTGTGGGCTGCCAAGAAGCAGAAGGCTAGAAGGCTTTGCAAGGAACCCCAACAGACTTCAAGGTGCCTGAGAGGGCTGGGCTTATTCCAGCTTTCTTTGCTTTCATTCTGTTAGCAAGAAAACCTGCTCACAGATGGCAGGTGGGCCTGAGGCTGCCAGTCACTCACCAGAGGCTATAGGTGCCTCGATTGTGGCTGTTTCTTGAAGCAGCTGCTCAGGCCGGTTATTGCAGAGCAGTTCCCTCATTATCCACAGGTCCTTGTTCCAGCCCCGGCTCTGCAAAGGGACTAGGGAGGGACTAGGCAAGGGCTCAGCCTGTGCCTCACAACCTGCTCTGAGATATCTCTTTTGTTACTTCCTCATGGACAGCCTCAAACTTCCAAATGAACAGACCAGCATGGAGCCTCCAGGAAAGTGCATAGAATTCTATCTGGTACCCAGAGGGAAGGGGGTTCCCAGTGAGGGCAGGACCAGGCTTCATGCACCTCTTCAGGAATGTTCTCCTCATAGTCCAGCCTCAAGGTGTGCATCCTCTGTGTGCATGGAGTCCATGGCAGGCTCTGCCTGGGGAGCCGTCCAGCTGCACACCTGCAATGTGGTGGTGACCCTCATGAATGGGTGGTTCTGGGCCCCATGGCTGGCAGCAGAGAGGGAGATGTTCAGCCACCAAGCCCAGAGCCCTGCCACAGGCTTCTGTGAGGCCTCCATCTGCTCTGGGTTCTTGCCCTGAGAGGCTGCCCTGAAGTCAAACAGAAGCACGTGGGCCTCTCTTCCAGGGCTGCTCTCTCCCCCACTGACAGCTCCCTAGAGGGAGACTCAGACAGCGGGGACAGATTCCTCAGGCATAAGCACTGGAGTTTAGGCTGGCCAGTTCATTCCATACGCCCACATGACATGACACAAGGCAGAGGCTGTGGGACAAAGGTATTGCCTTTTCTTCTGGCATGAGGAATGGCTTAGGAAGCAGGGGATGGTGGGGCTGGGGTTGAGTGATGGGCTGTGGGCCACAAGGAGTGGGTGGGCGCTGAGAAAGTGTCCTGGTTGTCTGTCCATAGACGCAGAATGAGTGGCATCCCAGGAGCCTGTGAGGGGCTGGCAGAGACTTACTGGTTCCAGTAAAAGCCCCATGTGGATGCAGTAATGCTGCCTGCTGGTCCTTGGCTGTAATTACAAACAGGTACATGAGGTACCCATGCATCTTGAAGCTCTCAGGGAGTGGGTTCCAGCTGCTCATGGTAGGCACTTTTAGTCACTGAACATGCTTCAGGCATGTCCAAGCTTGATTAAGCCAGGCATCTTGCTGTGAGGCCCTCCACTTCACTAAGAACACTCTTCCTTGCTTCCCCTGGAAGTTGGACCTTCCAGTTCTGGTTCTGGAGACACGATGGCCCCTCCTGGACCCCTGGGAGAATGTGCTCAGGTGACACACAGTTGATGGGGCCCATTTCCAAGCCATTCTTCCATTTCCCACTGTTTGAGGGACCCGAGGCCGGTGACAAGCACAGAGCCACCCAAGGCCAGCTGTCTGCACCTAAATGTGATGCTTGTCTGGATGTCTCAGGGCCAGAACCCTCCAGGTGAGATGGCCTGGTCCTCACCACCTGGCGTCTGTGCTCCCTTTTCCTCTGTTCAATCCTGGCGCCAATGCCTCCCTCAACTCTCAGGTCACCATTGGAGAAGATGCTCAGGAAGAACAAGCAGCTGCAGTTAACCCTGCTGAAAGTGGCAGATGGGTCCAGGCTCTTGAGCTCGTCTTGGACATGGAACATGTGGATACAGGCTTTGAGCAGTGTGTGTAGCTCTTTCAGGAAGGAAGGGAAAAGGGTGTTACCCGGGTCCTACACCCTGGAACGACCCTTCTCAGACAGTAAATAGTTGGCAGGGTGCGGTCATGTGTGATTTTAGTTTTCAACTTTAGGCTTTCATTTTCAAATTCCACAATAAACACATAAGGTGGAGTTCTGGTTTCAGCACACACACACACACACAAACACACACACACACACACACACAGTCTCTCTCTCTGTATGTCTCTTTCTGTCTCTCTCTCTCTCCTTCCTGCAAGGATCCTTGTTAACAAGAAACCTTCTGCCAAATGCCTCTGAAGCACAGGCAGGTCTTGGGGAGCCACAAGGCCACTTCCTCTTTGTGCACTAGTGTCTTGGGTAGGCATAGCTTTCAGAGCTCTGGGGCCTCCACAACCTTGCCCTGCTGTCCAGGGGCAGCCCTCATGCAGGGGTGTCCTAAGAACTTTTCAGGATGCACAAGTTCAGCACTGTCTTCCAATGTGTGTTTCACGATATTTTAATGGTGGTTCTTTTGGGAAAAAGGAAAGGTTCTGTGATCAATTATGGGACACATTGAGCTACAGATCTTTTTCACAATTGCTCTTAACAAGCAGGTAGACCCTGAGAACATGAGTAGCTTCCCCGCAGGTAACTTGAGTGCATGAGAACTTTTGCTTTACAACCATGCCAATCTCACCTCAGCAGTTGGCAGTGCTGCACGGGGCAGACTTCCCTACTCAAAGGCTGTGAAGCTTTTCTTTCTTTTTTTTTAAACATTATTTTTCTTTATAGAATTTTGTTGGGCTGATATCAAGCCTGGCTTGGTACTGCCTCATTTTTTTTGGAATCAGAACGCTGTTCTTTAACTCACGGGTTGTGAAGTTAGAAGGTGCTGGTGTGACAGCCTGACAAGCAGAGCGCAGCTCCAATCCCACCTTCATGCTCTCATCTGACGCAGAGCCCTCAGAGAAGTGGGGAAGTGCTTCCTGGCCCTGCTTCTGGGGGCCGTCCCCAAGGCAGTCCACCGAACTTCCAAAACAGCCTTCCCTCACACACAGCCCTGAGCCCTCCTGCCGCTCCTCAATGTTGCACATCTCTGAGAAGTGGTCCAGCATGTTGCTGTCCAGGAGCAGTGAGAAGCAGGTGCGGTGACACATGTCTTCACGGACCATGAGCACCGGGTAAATCTCCTGCACAATCTCCTTGGGGGACACCTTGAGGGAGAAAGCCCCAACAACTGATGGCATGCCACATGGCAGAAAGCAAAGACTTACCCTTTCCCCAGCCCAAAGTCCTGAGAATCATGCCAAAAATCCTTGGTTTCCCACTTTTTAAAAATTTTAAAATTAAAATCCCAGGTTCCGCGTATACATGCCATGCCCACCTGCACCTGTGTGTGTGTGTGTGTTTGTGCACGCAGGACAGAGCCTGGCCCATTGACTATTCCTGCAGACCAAGAAAAATCCCTATGCAGAGTAAGGGGAGATGGAAGAAACGAGGGAGAGAAAATGGCAGCCTTGCCTCCTCCCTTGCCCATTGCTAAGGTCCCCAGGGCAAATGGCTTTTGCCTTCAACTTCACCTTAACAACATACAAAATATATTCATTTTTACTTCCGTCACTTTCTTAACATTACAAATTGTATCTTTATATATGATTTGTATTTTCACAGAGATTTAAGAATTTAATGCACCATTATAGTAGAAAATTGTATATCTGTGTATATATTTACATTGAACAGAGAGCTTTATATTTTCATGTGGTTTTATGATGCTGTCCAGCATCATTTAATTTTTCAACATAATTAACTCTCTTTAGCATTTTTTTTCCTAGGGTTATTCTAGTAGTTAACAACCTCAGCTTTTTTATTTTAATCTTTGAAAGTCTTTATTTTTTTCTAATTTTTGAAATACAGTATTTCCCAGATCAATTATTATTGGTTGCTAGTATTTTTTCTTTCATTGCTTTGAAATCTGGAAAGTTCTTAGCATCCCCGCTTTTTCTCTGAAATAATGTTTATGCCATTTTCTCCCTCTATTCTTTTTAAAAGACTCTATCTCTGAATGTATTGGTCTACTTGATGGTGTCCAGTAAGTCTTATATTTCACCCGTAATTTTCCCATTCTTTAAAATATTAGTTTCCAGGACTCAATATTTGTGAATAATATATGTTCAATTTTCTTTTTTCTGCTCCATTGTTTGCTGTTGTGTCTCTGTAGTGAATTTATAAAACTCAGTTATTATATTCTTCAACTCTATGATTTCTGTTGGGTTTTTAAAAATAGTTTTTATCTCTTTGTTGATATTTTGCTCATTCGTTATTTTTAAATTTCACTCAGTTGTCTCTTTCTGTTATAGTTTTGCTCACTGAGAATGCATAAGATGATTATTTTAAGTTCTCCATCAGATATGCAAAAATCTTTATTTGTTAAAATTCAGTTTCTGAATATTTATGTTTTTCTTCCAATGGGGAATATTTTCTGCCTTCTCTGTGTGCCTTGTGATTTTTTTTTTTAAAGAGATCTGGGGATCTATACAGCACTCATCAAATCTAGCATTTAAAGACTGGCTCAGTAAAGGGGGATACCGACAGCAATAGTCCAGGCTATAGATTCTAGGTGCTTCACAAACACATTCCCAAATATATTTTCTCTGGACTTCGCTGTGTTTCCAAGTTAAAGAGAATTTTTTCTCAATGTATTTTAGATTCTATTGTCTATTTTCTTCCCCAGTTGGCTGTCTGTGGTATTGCAGTTTCACTAGTGCTGTAGCAAACACTCATCTTTCTTCTCAGCAGACACAAACTGTCATCTATATGACTCCATCATGTCCTTCAGCACTCCACATCAGGAGAGAAAGAATCTAGTCATTAGACAATTTATCAAAAAGCCAAACATTTCAACACATATTCTACTGTTTTAATTCTCTCCTGAAGGAGATACTGGGAGTTGGGCATTTTCTCATTAGCCCAGTTACTGTTCTGGGTGAAAAAATAAACTGCAGTGGACAGGCTGTAAGCCAGACTTCATCAAATTTCTGCACCAATGAAAAAAAAATTTACAAGAGAAAAACAAAAAACCCTATTAAACGTCACGGACAAGGCCAGAGTTTGAATATACTGTGGTCATCTCTGCTCCAGTGCAAACTGTTTCCAGAAAGCCTACTTCTATTTTCCTTGCTGTAACAGAGGAACATTTCCTGTCTTATGTTTATTCTACTCTGCAATCCCCTAAGGCTTTTTCTCTCCCTCCCAGAATCTTAAAGTGCATTCGAACTCGCAGGCAAAATCCTCCCAGAATCTTGTGAGAACATAAATGATCTGACTAGTTTGGCATTGCTTTTGGGGATCTGGGAAAATCTGTGCACACTTCTGGAGACCCTTGTCATGCCATTTTTTATAAATCTATTGTGCCTCAAGTCAGAAGTGTGTGAGGGGAGATGGGGAGACATTGGGATGCGCGCGCCTGGGGCTCTCCCACAGGGGGCTTTCGTGAGCCAGGCAGCGAGGGCCGCCCCCGCGCTGCAGCCCAGCCAGGCCGCGACGGCAGAGGGGGTCTCCCAACCTGCCCCGGCGCGCGGGGATTTCGCCTACGCCGCCCCGGCTCCTCCGGACGGGGCGCTCTCCCACCCTCAGGCTCCTCGGTGGCCTCCGCACCCGGGCAAAAGCCGGGAGGACCGGGACCCGCAGCGCGACGGCCTGCCGGGCCCCTGCGCGGTGGCACAGCCTGGGCCCGCTCAAGCGGGGCCGCAGGGCCAAGGGGTGCTTGCGCCACCCACGTCCCAGGGGAGTCCGTGGTGGGGCTGGGGCCGGGGTCCCCAGGTCGCCGGGGCGGCGTGGGAACCCCAAGCCGGGGCAGCTCCACCTCCCCAGCCCGCGCCCCCGGACGCCTCCGCCTCCGCGCGGCAGGGGCAGATGCAAGGCATCCCGGCGCCCTCCCAGGCGCTCCAGGAGCCGGCGCCCTGGTCTGCACTCCCCTGCGGCCTGCTGCTGGATGAGCTCCTGGCGAGCCCGGAGTTTCTGCAGCAGGCGCAACCTCTCCTAGAAACGGAGGCCCCGGGGGAGCTGGAGGCCTCGGAAGAGGCCGCCTCGCTGGAAGCACCCCTCAGCGAGGAAGAATACCGGGCTCTGCTGGAGGAGCTTTAGGACGCGGGGTTGGGACGGGGTCGGGTGGTTCGGGGCAGGGCGGTGGCCTCTCTTTCGCGGGGAACACCTGGCTGGCTACGGAGGGGCGTGTCTCCGCCCCGCCCCCTCCACCGGGCTGACCGGCCTGGGATTCCTGCCTTCTAGGTCTAGGCCCGGTGAGAGACTCCACACCGCGGAGAACTGCCATTCTTTCCTGGGCATCCCGGGGATCCCAGAGCCGGCCCAGGTACCAGCAGGTGGGCCGCCTACTGCGCACGCGCGGGTTTGCGGGCAGCCGCCTGGGCTGTGGGAGCAGCCCGGGCAGAGCTCTCCTGCCTCTCCACCAGCCCACCCCGCCGCCTGACCGCCCCCTCCCCACCCCCACCCCCCACCCCCGGAAAACGCGTCGTCCCCTGGGCTGGGTGGAGACCCCCGTCCCGCGAAACACCTGGCCCCGCGCAGCGTCCGGGCCTGACACCGCTCCGGCGGCTCGCCTCCTCTGCGCCCCCGCGCCACCGTCGCCCGCCCGCCCGGGCCCCTGCAGCCGCCCAGGTGCCAGCACGGAGCGCCTGGCGGCGGAACGCAGACCCCAGGCCCGGCGCACACCGGGGACGCTGAGCGTTCCAGGCGGGAGGGAAGGCGGGCAGAGATGGAGAGAGGAACGGGAGACCTAGAGGGGCGGAAGGACGGGCGGAGGGACGTTAGGAGGGAGGGAGGGAGGCAGGGAGGCAGGGAGGAACGGAGGGAAAGACAGAGCGACGCGGGGACTGGGGGCGGGCGGGAGGGAGCCGGGGACGGACGGGGGGAGGAAGGCAGGGAGGAAAAGCGGTCCTCGGCCTCCGGGAGTAGCGGGACCCCCGCCCTCCGGGAAAACGGTCAGCGTCCGGCGCGGGCTGAGGGCTGGGCCCACAGCCGCCGCGCCGGCCGGCGGGGCACCACCCATTCGCCCCGGTTCCGGGGCCCAGGGAGTGGGCGGTTTCCTCCGGGACAAAAGACCGGGACTCGGGTTGCCGTCGGGTTTTCACCCGCGCGGTTCACAGACCGCACATCCCCAGGCTGAGCCCTGCAACGCGGCGCGAGGCCGACAGCCCCGGCCACGGAGGAGCCACACGCAGGACGACGGAGGCGTGATTTTGGTTTCCGCGTGGCTTTGCCCTCCGCAAGGCGGCCTGTTGCTCACGTCTCTCCGGCCCCCGAAAGGCTGGCCATGCCGACTGTTTGCTCCCGGAGCTCTGCGGGCACCCGGAAACATGCAGGGAAGGGTGCAAGCCCGGCATGGTGCCTTCGCTCTCCTTGCCAGGTTCCAAACCGGCCACACTGCAGACTCCCCACGTTGCCGCACGCGGGAATCCATCGTCAGGCCATCACGCCGGGGAGGCATCTCCTCTCTGGGGTCTCGCTCTGGTCTTCTACGTGGAAATGAACGAGAGCCACACGCCTGCGTGTGCGAGACCGTCCCGGCAACGGCGACGCCCACAGGCATTGCCTCCTTCACGGAGAGAGGGCCTGGCACACTCAAGACTCCCACGGAGGTTCAGTTCCACACTCCCCTCCACCCTCCCAGGCTGGTTTCTCCCTGCTGCCGACGCGTGGGAGCCCAGAGAGCGGCTTCCCGTTCCCGCGGGATCCCTGGAGAGGTCCGGAGAGCCGGCCCCCGAAACGCGCCCCCCTCCCCCCTCCCCCCTCTCCCCCTTCCTCTTCGTCTCTCCGGCCCCACCACCACCACCGCCACCACGCCCTCCCCCACCACCCCCCCCCCCACCACCACCACCACCACCACCACCCCGCCGGCCGGCCCCAGGCCTCGACGCCCTGGGTCCCTTCCGGGGTGGGGCGGGCTGTCCCAGGGGGGCTCACCGCCATTCATGAAGGGGTGGAGCCTGCCTGCCTGTGGGCCTTTACAAGGGCGGCTGGCTGGCTGGCTGGCTGGCTGTCCGGGCAGGCCTCCTGGCTGCACCTGCCGCAGTGCACAGTCCGGCTGAGGTGCACGGGAGCCCGCCGGCCTCTCTCTGCCCGCGTCCGTCCGTGAAATTCCGGCCGGGGCTCACCGCGATGGCCCTCCCGACACCCTCGGACAGCACCCTCCCCGCGGAAGCCCGGGGACGAGGACGGCGACGGAGACTCGTTTGGACCCCGAGCCAAAGCGAGGCCCTGCGAGCCTGCTTTGAGCGGAACCCGTACCCGGGCATCGCCACCAGAGAACGGCTGGCCCAGGCCATCGGCATTCCGGAGCCCAGGGTCCAGATTTGGTTTCAGAATGAGAGGTCACGCCAGCTGAGGCAGCACCGGCGGGAATCTCGGCCCTGGCCCGGGAGACGCGGCCCGCCAGAAGGCCGGCGAAAGCGGACCGCCGTCACCGGATCCCAGACCGCCCTGCTCCTCCGAGCCTTTGAGAAGGATCGCTTTCCAGGCATCGCCGCCCGGGAGGAGCTGGCCAGAGAGACGGGCCTCCCGGAGTCCAGGATTCAGATCTGGTTTCAGAATCGAAGGGCCAGGCACCCGGGACAGGGTGGCAGGGCGCCCGCGCAGGCAGGCGGCCTGTGCAGCGCGGCCCCCGGCGGGGGTCACCCTGCTCCCTCGTGGGTCGCCTTCGCCCACACCGGCGCGTGGGGAACGGGGCTTCCCGCACCCCACGTGCCCTGCGCGCCTGGGGCTCTCCCACAGGGGGCTTTCGTGAGCCAGGCAGCGAGGGCCGCCCCCGCGCTGCAGCCCAGCCAGGCCGCGCCGGCAGAGGGGATCTCCCAACCTGCCCCGGCGCGCGGGGATTTCGCCTACGCCGCCCCGGCTCCTCCGGACGGGGCGCTCTCCCACCCTCAGGCTCCTCGGTGGCCTCCGCACCCGGGCAAAAGCCGGGAGGACCGGGACCCGCAGCGCGACGGCCTGCCGGGCCCCTGCGCGGTGGCACAGCCTGGGCCCGCTCAAGCGGGGCCGCAGGGCCAAGGGGTGCTTGCGCCACCCACGTCCCAGGGGAGTCCGTGGTGGGGCTGGGGCCGGGGTCCCCAGGTCGCCGGGGCGGCGTGGGAACCCCAAGCCGGGGCAGCTCCACCTCCCCAGCCCGCGCCCCCGGACGCCTCCGCCTCCGCGCGGCAGGGGCAGATGCAAGGCATCCCGGCGCCCTCCCAGGCGCTCCAGGAGCCGGCGCCCTGGTCTGCACTCCCCTGCGGCCTGCTGCTGGATGAGCTCCTGGCGAGCCCGGAGTTTCTGCAGCAGGCGCAACCTCTCCTAGAAACGGAGGCCCCGGGGGAGCTGGAGGCCTCGGAAGAGGCCGCCTCGCTGGAAGCACCCCTCAGCGAGGAAGAATACCGGGCTCTGCTGGAGGAGCTTTAGGACGCGGGGTTGGGACGGGGTCGGGTGGTTCGGGGCAGGGCGGTGGCCTCTCTTTCGCGGGGAACACCTGGCTGGCTACGGAGGGGCGTGTCTCCGCCCCGCCCCCTCCACCGGGCTGACCGGCCTGGGATTCCTGCCTTCTAGGTCTAGGCCCGGTGAGAGACTCCACACCGCGGAGAACTGCCATTCTTTCCTGGGCATCCCGGGGATCCCAGAGCCGGCCCAGGTACCAGCAGGTGGGCCGCCTACTGCGCACGCGCGGGTTTGCGGGCAGCCGCCTGGGCTGTGGGAGCAGCCCGGGCAGAGCTCTCCTGCCTCTCCACCAGCCCACCCCGCCGCCTGACCGCCCCCTCCCCACCCCCACCCCCCACCCCCGGAAAACGCGTCGTCCCCTGGGCTGGGTGGAGACCCCCGTCCCGCGAAACACCTGGCCCCGCGCAGCGTCCGGGCCTGACACCGCTCCGGCGGCTCGCCTCCTCTGCGCCCCCGCGCCACCGTCGCCCGCCCGCCCGGGCCCCTGCAGCCGCCCAGGTGCCAGCACGGAGCGCCTGGCGGCGGAACGCAGACCCCAGGCCCGGCGCACACCGGGGACGCTGAGCGTTCCAGGCGGGAGGGAAGGCGGGCAGAGATGGAGAGAGGAACGGGAGACCTAGAGGGGCGGAAGGACGGGCGGAGGGACGTTAGGAGGGAGGGAGGGAGGCAGGGAGGCAGGGAGGAACGGAGGGAAAGACAGAGCGACGCGGGGACTGGGGGCGGGCGGGAGGGAGCCGGGGACGGACGGGGGGAGGAAGGCAGGGAGGAAAAGCGGTCCTCGGCCTCCGGGAGTAGCGGGACCCCCGCCCTCCGGGAAAACGGTCAGCGTCCGGCGCGGGCTGAGGGCTGGGCCCACAGCCGCCGCGCCGGCCGGCGGGGCACCACCCATTCGCCCCGGTTCCGGGGCCCAGGGAGTGGGCGGTTTCCTCCGGGACAAAAGACCGGGACTCGGGTTGCCGTCGGGTTTTCACCCGCGCGGTTCACAGACCGCACATCCCCAGGCTGAGCCCTGCAACGCGGCGCGAGGCCGACAGCCCCGGCCACGGAGGAGCCACACGCAGGACGACGGAGGCGTGATTTTGGTTTCCGCGTGGCTTTGCCCTCCGCAAGGCGGCCTGTTGCTCACGTCTCTCCGGCCCCCGAAAGGCTGGCCATGCCGACTGTTTGCTCCCGGAGCTCTGCGGGCACCCGGAAACATGCAGGGAAGGGTGCAAGCCCGGCATGGTGCCTTCGCTCTCCTTGCCAGGTTCCAAACCGGCCACACTGCAGACTCCCCACGTTGCCGCACGCGGGAATCCATCGTCAGGCCATCACGCCGGGGAGGCATCTCCTCTCTGGGGTCTCGCTCTGGTCTTCTACGTGGAAATGAACGAGAGCCACACGCCTGCGTGTGCGAGACCGTCCCGGCAACGGCGACGCCCACAGGCATTGCCTCCTTCACGGAGAGAGGGCCTGGCACACTCAAGACTCCCACGGAGGTTCAGTTCCACACTCCCCTCCACCCTCCCAGGCTGGTTTCTCCCTGCTGCCGACGCGTGGGAGCCCAGAGAGCGGCTTCCCGTTCCCGCGGGATCCCTGGAGAGGTCCGGAGAGCCGGCCCCCGAAACGCGCCCCCCTCCCCCCTCCCCCCTCTCCCCCTTCCTCTTCGTCTCTCCGGCCCCACCACCACCACCGCCACCACGCCCTCCCCCACCACCCCCCCCCCCACCACCACCACCACCACCACCACCCCGCCGGCCGGCCCCAGGCCTCGACGCCCTGGGTCCCTTCCGGGGTGGGGCGGGCTGTCCCAGGGGGGCTCACCGCCATTCATGAAGGGGTGGAGCCTGCCTGCCTGTGGGCCTTTACAAGGGCGGCTGGCTGGCTGGCTGGCTGGCTGTCCGGGCAGGCCTCCTGGCTGCACCTGCCGCAGTGCACAGTCCGGCTGAGGTGCACGGGAGCCCGCCGGCCTCTCTCTGCCCGCGTCCGTCCGTGAAATTCCGGCCGGGGCTCACCGCGATGGCCCTCCCGACACCCTCGGACAGCACCCTCCCCGCGGAAGCCCGGGGACGAGGACGGCGACGGAGACTCGTTTGGACCCCGAGCCAAAGCGAGGCCCTGCGAGCCTGCTTTGAGCGGAACCCGTACCCGGGCATCGCCACCAGAGAACGGCTGGCCCAGGCCATCGGCATTCCGGAGCCCAGGGTCCAGATTTGGTTTCAGAATGAGAGGTCACGCCAGCTGAGGCAGCACCGGCGGGAATCTCGGCCCTGGCCCGGGAGACGCGGCCCGCCAGAAGGCCGGCGAAAGCGGACCGCCGTCACCGGATCCCAGACCGCCCTGCTCCTCCGAGCCTTTGAGAAGGATCGCTTTCCAGGCATCGCCGCCCGGGAGGAGCTGGCCAGAGAGACGGGCCTCCCGGAGTCCAGGATTCAGATCTGGTTTCAGAATCGAAGGGCCAGGCACCCGGGACAGGGTGGCAGGGCGCCCGCGCAGGCAGGCGGCCTGTGCAGCGCGGCCCCCGGCGGGGGTCACCCTGCTCCCTCGTGGGTCGCCTTCGCCCACACCGGCGCGTGGGGAACGGGGCTTCCCGCACCCCACGTGCCCTGCGCGCCTGGGGCTCTCCCACAGGGGGCTTTCGTGAGCCAGGCAGCGAGGGCCGCCCCCGCGCTGCAGCCCAGCCAGGCCGCGCCGGCAGAGGGGATCTCCCAACCTGCCCCGGCGCGCGGGGATTTCGCCTACGCCGCCCCGGCTCCTCCGGACGGGGCGCTCTCCCACCCTCAGGCTCCTCGGTGGCCTCCGCACCCGGGCAAAAGCCGGGAGGACCGGGACCCGCAGCGCGACGGCCTGCCGGGCCCCTGCGCGGTGGCACAGCCTGGGCCCGCTCAAGCGGGGCCGCAGGGCCAAGGGGTGCTTGCGCCACCCACGTCCCAGGGGAGTCCGTGGTGGGGCTGGGGCCGGGGTCCCCAGGTCGCCGGGGCGGCGTGGGAACCCCAAGCCGGGGCAGCTCCACCTCCCCAGCCCGCGCCCCCGGACGCCTCCGCCTCCGCGCGGCAGGGGCAGATGCAAGGCATCCCGGCGCCCTCCCAGGCGCTCCAGGAGCCGGCGCCCTGGTCTGCACTCCCCTGCGGCCTGCTGCTGGATGAGCTCCTGGCGAGCCCGGAGTTTCTGCAGCAGGCGCAACCTCTCCTAGAAACGGAGGCCCCGGGGGAGCTGGAGGCCTCGGAAGAGGCCGCCTCGCTGGAAGCACCCCTCAGCGAGGAAGAATACCGGGCTCTGCTGGAGGAGCTTTAGGACGCGGGGTTGGGACGGGGTCGGGTGGTTCGGGGCAGGGCGGTGGCCTCTCTTTCGCGGGGAACACCTGGCTGGCTACGGAGGGGCGTGTCTCCGCCCCGCCCCCTCCACCGGGCTGACCGGCCTGGGATTCCTGCCTTCTAGGTCTAGGCCCGGTGAGAGACTCCACACCGCGGAGAACTGCCATTCTTTCCTGGGCATCCCGGGGATCCCAGAGCCGGCCCAGGTACCAGCAGGTGGGCCGCCTACTGCGCACGCGCGGGTTTGCGGGCAGCCGCCTGGGCTGTGGGAGCAGCCCGGGCAGAGCTCTCCTGCCTCTCCACCAGCCCACCCCGCCGCCTGACCGCCCCCTCCCCACCCCCACCCCCCACCCCCGGAAAACGCGTCGTCCCCTGGGCTGGGTGGAGACCCCCGTCCCGCGAAACACCTGGCCCCGCGCAGCGTCCGGGCCTGACACCGCTCCGGCGGCTCGCCTCCTCTGCGCCCCCGCGCCACCGTCGCCCGCCCGCCCGGGCCCCTGCAGCCGCCCAGGTGCCAGCACGGAGCGCCTGGCGGCGGAACGCAGACCCCAGGCCCGGCGCACACCGGGGACGCTGAGCGTTCCAGGCGGGAGGGAAGGCGGGCAGAGATGGAGAGAGGAACGGGAGACCTAGAGGGGCGGAAGGACGGGCGGAGGGACGTTAGGAGGGAGGGAGGGAGGCAGGGAGGCAGGGAGGAACGGAGGGAAAGACAGAGCGACGCGGGGACTGGGGGCGGGCGGGAGGGAGCCGGGGACGGACGGGGGGAGGAAGGCAGGGAGGAAAAGCGGTCCTCGGCCTCCGGGAGTAGCGGGACCCCCGCCCTCCGGGAAAACGGTCAGCGTCCGGCGCGGGCTGAGGGCTGGGCCCACAGCCGCCGCGCCGGCCGGCGGGGCACCACCCATTCGCCCCGGTTCCGGGGCCCAGGGAGTGGGCGGTTTCCTCCGGGACAAAAGACCGGGACTCGGGTTGCCGTCGGGTTTTCACCCGCGCGGTTCACAGACCGCACATCCCCAGGCTGAGCCCTGCAACGCGGCGCGAGGCCGACAGCCCCGGCCACGGAGGAGCCACACGCAGGACGACGGAGGCGTGATTTTGGTTTCCGCGTGGCTTTGCCCTCCGCAAGGCGGCCTGTTGCTCACGTCTCTCCGGCCCCCGAAAGGCTGGCCATGCCGACTGTTTGCTCCCGGAGCTCTGCGGGCACCCGGAAACATGCAGGGAAGGGTGCAAGCCCGGCATGGTGCCTTCGCTCTCCTTGCCAGGTTCCAAACCGGCCACACTGCAGACTCCCCACGTTGCCGCACGCGGGAATCCATCGTCAGGCCATCACGCCGGGGAGGCATCTCCTCTCTGGGGTCTCGCTCTGGTCTTCTACGTGGAAATGAACGAGAGCCACACGCCTGCGTGTGCGAGACCGTCCCGGCAACGGCGACGCCCACAGGCATTGCCTCCTTCACGGAGAGAGGGCCTGGCACACTCAAGACTCCCACGGAGGTTCAGTTCCACACTCCCCTCCACCCTCCCAGGCTGGTTTCTCCCTGCTGCCGACGCGTGGGAGCCCAGAGAGCGGCTTCCCGTTCCCGCGGGATCCCTGGAGAGGTCCGGAGAGCCGGCCCCCGAAACGCGCCCCCCTCCCCCCTCCCCCCTCTCCCCCTTCCTCTTCGTCTCTCCGGCCCCACCACCACCACCGCCACCACGCCCTCCCCCACCACCCCCCCCCCCACCACCACCACCACCACCACCACCCCGCCGGCCGGCCCCAGGCCTCGACGCCCTGGGTCCCTTCCGGGGTGGGGCGGGCTGTCCCAGGGGGGCTCACCGCCATTCATGAAGGGGTGGAGCCTGCCTGCCTGTGGGCCTTTACAAGGGCGGCTGGCTGGCTGGCTGGCTGGCTGTCCGGGCAGGCCTCCTGGCTGCACCTGCCGCAGTGCACAGTCCGGCTGAGGTGCACGGGAGCCCGCCGGCCTCTCTCTGCCCGCGTCCGTCCGTGAAATTCCGGCCGGGGCTCACCGCGATGGCCCTCCCGACACCCTCGGACAGCACCCTCCCCGCGGAAGCCCGGGGACGAGGACGGCGACGGAGACTCGTTTGGACCCCGAGCCAAAGCGAGGCCCTGCGAGCCTGCTTTGAGCGGAACCCGTACCCGGGCATCGCCACCAGAGAACGGCTGGCCCAGGCCATCGGCATTCCGGAGCCCAGGGTCCAGATTTGGTTTCAGAATGAGAGGTCACGCCAGCTGAGGCAGCACCGGCGGGAATCTCGGCCCTGGCCCGGGAGACGCGGCCCGCCAGAAGGCCGGCGAAAGCGGACCGCCGTCACCGGATCCCAGACCGCCCTGCTCCTCCGAGCCTTTGAGAAGGATCGCTTTCCAGGCATCGCCGCCCGGGAGGAGCTGGCCAGAGAGACGGGCCTCCCGGAGTCCAGGATTCAGATCTGGTTTCAGAATCGAAGGGCCAGGCACCCGGGACAGGGTGGCAGGGCGCCCGCGCAGGCAGGCGGCCTGTGCAGCGCGGCCCCCGGCGGGGGTCACCCTGCTCCCTCGTGGGTCGCCTTCGCCCACACCGGCGCGTGGGGAACGGGGCTTCCCGCACCCCACGTGCCCTGCGCGCCTGGGGCTCTCCCACAGGGGGCTTTCGTGAGCCAGGCAGCGAGGGCCGCCCCCGCGCTGCAGCCCAGCCAGGCCGCGCCGGCAGAGGGGATCTCCCAACCTGCCCCGGCGCGCGGGGATTTCGCCTACGCCGCCCCGGCTCCTCCGGACGGGGCGCTCTCCCACCCTCAGGCTCCTCGGTGGCCTCCGCACCCGGGCAAAAGCCGGGAGGACCGGGACCCGCAGCGCGACGGCCTGCCGGGCCCCTGCGCGGTGGCACAGCCTGGGCCCGCTCAAGCGGGGCCGCAGGGCCAAGGGGTGCTTGCGCCACCCACGTCCCAGGGGAGTCCGTGGTGGGGCTGGGGCCGGGGTCCCCAGGTCGCCGGGGCGGCGTGGGAACCCCAAGCCGGGGCAGCTCCACCTCCCCAGCCCGCGCCCCCGGACGCCTCCGCCTCCGCGCGGCAGGGGCAGATGCAAGGCATCCCGGCGCCCTCCCAGGCGCTCCAGGAGCCGGCGCCCTGGTCTGCACTCCCCTGCGGCCTGCTGCTGGATGAGCTCCTGGCGAGCCCGGAGTTTCTGCAGCAGGCGCAACCTCTCCTAGAAACGGAGGCCCCGGGGGAGCTGGAGGCCTCGGAAGAGGCCGCCTCGCTGGAAGCACCCCTCAGCGAGGAAGAATACCGGGCTCTGCTGGAGGAGCTTTAGGACGCGGGGTTGGGACGGGGTCGGGTGGTTCGGGGCAGGGCGGTGGCCTCTCTTTCGCGGGGAACACCTGGCTGGCTACGGAGGGGCGTGTCTCCGCCCCGCCCCCTCCACCGGGCTGACCGGCCTGGGATTCCTGCCTTCTAGGTCTAGGCCCGGTGAGAGACTCCACACCGCGGAGAACTGCCATTCTTTCCTGGGCATCCCGGGGATCCCAGAGCCGGCCCAGGTACCAGCAGGTGGGCCGCCTACTGCGCACGCGCGGGTTTGCGGGCAGCCGCCTGGGCTGTGGGAGCAGCCCGGGCAGAGCTCTCCTGCCTCTCCACCAGCCCACCCCGCCGCCTGACCGCCCCCTCCCCACCCCCACCCCCCACCCCCGGAAAACGCGTCGTCCCCTGGGCTGGGTGGAGACCCCCGTCCCGCGAAACACCTGGCCCCGCGCAGCGTCCGGGCCTGACACCGCTCCGGCGGCTCGCCTCCTCTGCGCCCCCGCGCCACCGTCGCCCGCCCGCCCGGGCCCCTGCAGCCGCCCAGGTGCCAGCACGGAGCGCCTGGCGGCGGAACGCAGACCCCAGGCCCGGCGCACACCGGGGACGCTGAGCGTTCCAGGCGGGAGGGAAGGCGGGCAGAGATGGAGAGAGGAACGGGAGACCTAGAGGGGCGGAAGGACGGGCGGAGGGACGTTAGGAGGGAGGGAGGGAGGCAGGGAGGCAGGGAGGAACGGAGGGAAAGACAGAGCGACGCGGGGACTGGGGGCGGGCGGGAGGGAGCCGGGGACGGACGGGGGGAGGAAGGCAGGGAGGAAAAGCGGTCCTCGGCCTCCGGGAGTAGCGGGACCCCCGCCCTCCGGGAAAACGGTCAGCGTCCGGCGCGGGCTGAGGGCTGGGCCCACAGCCGCCGCGCCGGCCGGCGGGGCACCACCCATTCGCCCCGGTTCCGGGGCCCAGGGAGTGGGCGGTTTCCTCCGGGACAAAAGACCGGGACTCGGGTTGCCGTCGGGTTTTCACCCGCGCGGTTCACAGACCGCACATCCCCAGGCTGAGCCCTGCAACGCGGCGCGAGGCCGACAGCCCCGGCCACGGAGGAGCCACACGCAGGACGACGGAGGCGTGATTTTGGTTTCCGCGTGGCTTTGCCCTCCGCAAGGCGGCCTGTTGCTCACGTCTCTCCGGCCCCCGAAAGGCTGGCCATGCCGACTGTTTGCTCCCGGAGCTCTGCGGGCACCCGGAAACATGCAGGGAAGGGTGCAAGCCCGGCATGGTGCCTTCGCTCTCCTTGCCAGGTTCCAAACCGGCCACACTGCAGACTCCCCACGTTGCCGCACGCGGGAATCCATCGTCAGGCCATCACGCCGGGGAGGCATCTCCTCTCTGGGGTCTCGCTCTGGTCTTCTACGTGGAAATGAACGAGAGCCACACGCCTGCGTGTGCGAGACCGTCCCGGCAACGGCGACGCCCACAGGCATTGCCTCCTTCACGGAGAGAGGGCCTGGCACACTCAAGACTCCCACGGAGGTTCAGTTCCACACTCCCCTCCACCCTCCCAGGCTGGTTTCTCCCTGCTGCCGACGCGTGGGAGCCCAGAGAGCGGCTTCCCGTTCCCGCGGGATCCCTGGAGAGGTCCGGAGAGCCGGCCCCCGAAACGCGCCCCCCTCCCCCCTCCCCCCTCTCCCCCTTCCTCTTCGTCTCTCCGGCCCCACCACCACCACCGCCACCACGCCCTCCCCCACCACCCCCCCCCCCACCACCACCACCACCACCACCACCCCGCCGGCCGGCCCCAGGCCTCGACGCCCTGGGTCCCTTCCGGGGTGGGGCGGGCTGTCCCAGGGGGGCTCACCGCCATTCATGAAGGGGTGGAGCCTGCCTGCCTGTGGGCCTTTACAAGGGCGGCTGGCTGGCTGGCTGGCTGGCTGTCCGGGCAGGCCTCCTGGCTGCACCTGCCGCAGTGCACAGTCCGGCTGAGGTGCACGGGAGCCCGCCGGCCTCTCTCTGCCCGCGTCCGTCCGTGAAATTCCGGCCGGGGCTCACCGCGATGGCCCTCCCGACACCCTCGGACAGCACCCTCCCCGCGGAAGCCCGGGGACGAGGACGGCGACGGAGACTCGTTTGGACCCCGAGCCAAAGCGAGGCCCTGCGAGCCTGCTTTGAGCGGAACCCGTACCCGGGCATCGCCACCAGAGAACGGCTGGCCCAGGCCATCGGCATTCCGGAGCCCAGGGTCCAGATTTGGTTTCAGAATGAGAGGTCACGCCAGCTGAGGCAGCACCGGCGGGAATCTCGGCCCTGGCCCGGGAGACGCGGCCCGCCAGAAGGCCGGCGAAAGCGGACCGCCGTCACCGGATCCCAGACCGCCCTGCTCCTCCGAGCCTTTGAGAAGGATCGCTTTCCAGGCATCGCCGCCCGGGAGGAGCTGGCCAGAGAGACGGGCCTCCCGGAGTCCAGGATTCAGATCTGGTTTCAGAATCGAAGGGCCAGGCACCCGGGACAGGGTGGCAGGGCGCCCGCGCAGGCAGGCGGCCTGTGCAGCGCGGCCCCCGGCGGGGGTCACCCTGCTCCCTCGTGGGTCGCCTTCGCCCACACCGGCGCGTGGGGAACGGGGCTTCCCGCACCCCACGTGCCCTGCGCGCCTGGGGCTCTCCCACAGGGGGCTTTCGTGAGCCAGGCAGCGAGGGCCGCCCCCGCGCTGCAGCCCAGCCAGGCCGCGCCGGCAGAGGGGATCTCCCAACCTGCCCCGGCGCGCGGGGATTTCGCCTACGCCGCCCCGGCTCCTCCGGACGGGGCGCTCTCCCACCCTCAGGCTCCTCGGTGGCCTCCGCACCCGGGCAAAAGCCGGGAGGACCGGGACCCGCAGCGCGACGGCCTGCCGGGCCCCTGCGCGGTGGCACAGCCTGGGCCCGCTCAAGCGGGGCCGCAGGGCCAAGGGGTGCTTGCGCCACCCACGTCCCAGGGGAGTCCGTGGTGGGGCTGGGGCCGGGGTCCCCAGGTCGCCGGGGCGGCGTGGGAACCCCAAGCCGGGGCAGCTCCACCTCCCCAGCCCGCGCCCCCGGACGCCTCCGCCTCCGCGCGGCAGGGGCAGATGCAAGGCATCCCGGCGCCCTCCCAGGCGCTCCAGGAGCCGGCGCCCTGGTCTGCACTCCCCTGCGGCCTGCTGCTGGATGAGCTCCTGGCGAGCCCGGAGTTTCTGCAGCAGGCGCAACCTCTCCTAGAAACGGAGGCCCCGGGGGAGCTGGAGGCCTCGGAAGAGGCCGCCTCGCTGGAAGCACCCCTCAGCGAGGAAGAATACCGGGCTCTGCTGGAGGAGCTTTAGGACGCGGGGTTGGGACGGGGTCGGGTGGTTCGGGGCAGGGCGGTGGCCTCTCTTTCGCGGGGAACACCTGGCTGGCTACGGAGGGGCGTGTCTCCGCCCCGCCCCCTCCACCGGGCTGACCGGCCTGGGATTCCTGCCTTCTAGGTCTAGGCCCGGTGAGAGACTCCACACCGCGGAGAACTGCCATTCTTTCCTGGGCATCCCGGGGATCCCAGAGCCGGCCCAGGTACCAGCAGGTGGGCCGCCTACTGCGCACGCGCGGGTTTGCGGGCAGCCGCCTGGGCTGTGGGAGCAGCCCGGGCAGAGCTCTCCTGCCTCTCCACCAGCCCACCCCGCCGCCTGACCGCCCCCTCCCCACCCCCACCCCCCACCCCCGGAAAACGCGTCGTCCCCTGGGCTGGGTGGAGACCCCCGTCCCGCGAAACACCTGGCCCCGCGCAGCGTCCGGGCCTGACACCGCTCCGGCGGCTCGCCTCCTCTGCGCCCCCGCGCCACCGTCGCCCGCCCGCCCGGGCCCCTGCAGCCGCCCAGGTGCCAGCACGGAGCGCCTGGCGGCGGAACGCAGACCCCAGGCCCGGCGCACACCGGGGACGCTGAGCGTTCCAGGCGGGAGGGAAGGCGGGCAGAGATGGAGAGAGGAACGGGAGACCTAGAGGGGCGGAAGGACGGGCGGAGGGACGTTAGGAGGGAGGGAGGGAGGCAGGGAGGCAGGGAGGAACGGAGGGAAAGACAGAGCGACGCGGGGACTGGGGGCGGGCGGGAGGGAGCCGGGGACGGACGGGGGGAGGAAGGCAGGGAGGAAAAGCGGTCCTCGGCCTCCGGGAGTAGCGGGACCCCCGCCCTCCGGGAAAACGGTCAGCGTCCGGCGCGGGCTGAGGGCTGGGCCCACAGCCGCCGCGCCGGCCGGCGGGGCACCACCCATTCGCCCCGGTTCCGGGGCCCAGGGAGTGGGCGGTTTCCTCCGGGACAAAAGACCGGGACTCGGGTTGCCGTCGGGTTTTCACCCGCGCGGTTCACAGACCGCACATCCCCAGGCTGAGCCCTGCAACGCGGCGCGAGGCCGACAGCCCCGGCCACGGAGGAGCCACACGCAGGACGACGGAGGCGTGATTTTGGTTTCCGCGTGGCTTTGCCCTCCGCAAGGCGGCCTGTTGCTCACGTCTCTCCGGCCCCCGAAAGGCTGGCCATGCCGACTGTTTGCTCCCGGAGCTCTGCGGGCACCCGGAAACATGCAGGGAAGGGTGCAAGCCCGGCATGGTGCCTTCGCTCTCCTTGCCAGGTTCCAAACCGGCCACACTGCAGACTCCCCACGTTGCCGCACGCGGGAATCCATCGTCAGGCCATCACGCCGGGGAGGCATCTCCTCTCTGGGGTCTCGCTCTGGTCTTCTACGTGGAAATGAACGAGAGCCACACGCCTGCGTGTGCGAGACCGTCCCGGCAACGGCGACGCCCACAGGCATTGCCTCCTTCACGGAGAGAGGGCCTGGCACACTCAAGACTCCCACGGAGGTTCAGTTCCACACTCCCCTCCACCCTCCCAGGCTGGTTTCTCCCTGCTGCCGACGCGTGGGAGCCCAGAGAGCGGCTTCCCGTTCCCGCGGGATCCCTGGAGAGGTCCGGAGAGCCGGCCCCCGAAACGCGCCCCCCTCCCCCCTCCCCCCTCTCCCCCTTCCTCTTCGTCTCTCCGGCCCCACCACCACCACCGCCACCACGCCCTCCCCCACCACCCCCCCCCCCACCACCACCACCACCACCACCACCCCGCCGGCCGGCCCCAGGCCTCGACGCCCTGGGTCCCTTCCGGGGTGGGGCGGGCTGTCCCAGGGGGGCTCACCGCCATTCATGAAGGGGTGGAGCCTGCCTGCCTGTGGGCCTTTACAAGGGCGGCTGGCTGGCTGGCTGGCTGGCTGTCCGGGCAGGCCTCCTGGCTGCACCTGCCGCAGTGCACAGTCCGGCTGAGGTGCACGGGAGCCCGCCGGCCTCTCTCTGCCCGCGTCCGTCCGTGAAATTCCGGCCGGGGCTCACCGCGATGGCCCTCCCGACACCCTCGGACAGCACCCTCCCCGCGGAAGCCCGGGGACGAGGACGGCGACGGAGACTCGTTTGGACCCCGAGCCAAAGCGAGGCCCTGCGAGCCTGCTTTGAGCGGAACCCGTACCCGGGCATCGCCACCAGAGAACGGCTGGCCCAGGCCATCGGCATTCCGGAGCCCAGGGTCCAGATTTGGTTTCAGAATGAGAGGTCACGCCAGCTGAGGCAGCACCGGCGGGAATCTCGGCCCTGGCCCGGGAGACGCGGCCCGCCAGAAGGCCGGCGAAAGCGGACCGCCGTCACCGGATCCCAGACCGCCCTGCTCCTCCGAGCCTTTGAGAAGGATCGCTTTCCAGGCATCGCCGCCCGGGAGGAGCTGGCCAGAGAGACGGGCCTCCCGGAGTCCAGGATTCAGATCTGGTTTCAGAATCGAAGGGCCAGGCACCCGGGACAGGGTGGCAGGGCGCCCGCGCAGGCAGGCGGCCTGTGCAGCGCGGCCCCCGGCGGGGGTCACCCTGCTCCCTCGTGGGTCGCCTTCGCCCACACCGGCGCGTGGGGAACGGGGCTTCCCGCACCCCACGTGCCCTGCGCGCCTGGGGCTCTCCCACAGGGGGCTTTCGTGAGCCAGGCAGCGAGGGCCGCCCCCGCGCTGCAGCCCAGCCAGGCCGCGCCGGCAGAGGGGATCTCCCAACCTGCCCCGGCGCGCGGGGATTTCGCCTACGCCGCCCCGGCTCCTCCGGACGGGGCGCTCTCCCACCCTCAGGCTCCTCGGTGGCCTCCGCACCCGGGCAAAAGCCGGGAGGACCGGGACCCGCAGCGCGACGGCCTGCCGGGCCCCTGCGCGGTGGCACAGCCTGGGCCCGCTCAAGCGGGGCCGCAGGGCCAAGGGGTGCTTGCGCCACCCACGTCCCAGGGGAGTCCGTGGTGGGGCTGGGGCCGGGGTCCCCAGGTCGCCGGGGCGGCGTGGGAACCCCAAGCCGGGGCAGCTCCACCTCCCCAGCCCGCGCCCCCGGACGCCTCCGCCTCCGCGCGGCAGGGGCAGATGCAAGGCATCCCGGCGCCCTCCCAGGCGCTCCAGGAGCCGGCGCCCTGGTCTGCACTCCCCTGCGGCCTGCTGCTGGATGAGCTCCTGGCGAGCCCGGAGTTTCTGCAGCAGGCGCAACCTCTCCTAGAAACGGAGGCCCCGGGGGAGCTGGAGGCCTCGGAAGAGGCCGCCTCGCTGGAAGCACCCCTCAGCGAGGAAGAATACCGGGCTCTGCTGGAGGAGCTTTAGGACGCGGGGTTGGGACGGGGTCGGGTGGTTCGGGGCAGGGCGGTGGCCTCTCTTTCGCGGGGAACACCTGGCTGGCTACGGAGGGGCGTGTCTCCGCCCCGCCCCCTCCACCGGGCTGACCGGCCTGGGATTCCTGCCTTCTAGGTCTAGGCCCGGTGAGAGACTCCACACCGCGGAGAACTGCCATTCTTTCCTGGGCATCCCGGGGATCCCAGAGCCGGCCCAGGTACCAGCAGGTGGGCCGCCTACTGCGCACGCGCGGGTTTGCGGGCAGCCGCCTGGGCTGTGGGAGCAGCCCGGGCAGAGCTCTCCTGCCTCTCCACCAGCCCACCCCGCCGCCTGACCGCCCCCTCCCCACCCCCACCCCCCACCCCCGGAAAACGCGTCGTCCCCTGGGCTGGGTGGAGACCCCCGTCCCGCGAAACACCTGGCCCCGCGCAGCGTCCGGGCCTGACACCGCTCCGGCGGCTCGCCTCCTCTGCGCCCCCGCGCCACCGTCGCCCGCCCGCCCGGGCCCCTGCAGCCGCCCAGGTGCCAGCACGGAGCGCCTGGCGGCGGAACGCAGACCCCAGGCCCGGCGCACACCGGGGACGCTGAGCGTTCCAGGCGGGAGGGAAGGCGGGCAGAGATGGAGAGAGGAACGGGAGACCTAGAGGGGCGGAAGGACGGGCGGAGGGACGTTAGGAGGGAGGGAGGGAGGCAGGGAGGCAGGGAGGAACGGAGGGAAAGACAGAGCGACGCGGGGACTGGGGGCGGGCGGGAGGGAGCCGGGGACGGACGGGGGGAGGAAGGCAGGGAGGAAAAGCGGTCCTCGGCCTCCGGGAGTAGCGGGACCCCCGCCCTCCGGGAAAACGGTCAGCGTCCGGCGCGGGCTGAGGGCTGGGCCCACAGCCGCCGCGCCGGCCGGCGGGGCACCACCCATTCGCCCCGGTTCCGGGGCCCAGGGAGTGGGCGGTTTCCTCCGGGACAAAAGACCGGGACTCGGGTTGCCGTCGGGTTTTCACCCGCGCGGTTCACAGACCGCACATCCCCAGGCTGAGCCCTGCAACGCGGCGCGAGGCCGACAGCCCCGGCCACGGAGGAGCCACACGCAGGACGACGGAGGCGTGATTTTGGTTTCCGCGTGGCTTTGCCCTCCGCAAGGCGGCCTGTTGCTCACGTCTCTCCGGCCCCCGAAAGGCTGGCCATGCCGACTGTTTGCTCCCGGAGCTCTGCGGGCACCCGGAAACATGCAGGGAAGGGTGCAAGCCCGGCATGGTGCCTTCGCTCTCCTTGCCAGGTTCCAAACCGGCCACACTGCAGACTCCCCACGTTGCCGCACGCGGGAATCCATCGTCAGGCCATCACGCCGGGGAGGCATCTCCTCTCTGGGGTCTCGCTCTGGTCTTCTACGTGGAAATGAACGAGAGCCACACGCCTGCGTGTGCGAGACCGTCCCGGCAACGGCGACGCCCACAGGCATTGCCTCCTTCACGGAGAGAGGGCCTGGCACACTCAAGACTCCCACGGAGGTTCAGTTCCACACTCCCCTCCACCCTCCCAGGCTGGTTTCTCCCTGCTGCCGACGCGTGGGAGCCCAGAGAGCGGCTTCCCGTTCCCGCGGGATCCCTGGAGAGGTCCGGAGAGCCGGCCCCCGAAACGCGCCCCCCTCCCCCCTCCCCCCTCTCCCCCTTCCTCTTCGTCTCTCCGGCCCCACCACCACCACCGCCACCACGCCCTCCCCCACCACCCCCCCCCCCACCACCACCACCACCACCACCACCCCGCCGGCCGGCCCCAGGCCTCGACGCCCTGGGTCCCTTCCGGGGTGGGGCGGGCTGTCCCAGGGGGGCTCACCGCCATTCATGAAGGGGTGGAGCCTGCCTGCCTGTGGGCCTTTACAAGGGCGGCTGGCTGGCTGGCTGGCTGGCTGTCCGGGCAGGCCTCCTGGCTGCACCTGCCGCAGTGCACAGTCCGGCTGAGGTGCACGGGAGCCCGCCGGCCTCTCTCTGCCCGCGTCCGTCCGTGAAATTCCGGCCGGGGCTCACCGCGATGGCCCTCCCGACACCCTCGGACAGCACCCTCCCCGCGGAAGCCCGGGGACGAGGACGGCGACGGAGACTCGTTTGGACCCCGAGCCAAAGCGAGGCCCTGCGAGCCTGCTTTGAGCGGAACCCGTACCCGGGCATCGCCACCAGAGAACGGCTGGCCCAGGCCATCGGCATTCCGGAGCCCAGGGTCCAGATTTGGTTTCAGAATGAGAGGTCACGCCAGCTGAGGCAGCACCGGCGGGAATCTCGGCCCTGGCCCGGGAGACGCGGCCCGCCAGAAGGCCGGCGAAAGCGGACCGCCGTCACCGGATCCCAGACCGCCCTGCTCCTCCGAGCCTTTGAGAAGGATCGCTTTCCAGGCATCGCCGCCCGGGAGGAGCTGGCCAGAGAGACGGGCCTCCCGGAGTCCAGGATTCAGATCTGGTTTCAGAATCGAAGGGCCAGGCACCCGGGACAGGGTGGCAGGGCGCCCGCGCAGGCAGGCGGCCTGTGCAGCGCGGCCCCCGGCGGGGGTCACCCTGCTCCCTCGTGGGTCGCCTTCGCCCACACCGGCGCGTGGGGAACGGGGCTTCCCGCACCCCACGTGCCCTGCGCGCCTGGGGCTCTCCCACAGGGGGCTTTCGTGAGCCAGGCAGCGAGGGCCGCCCCCGCGCTGCAGCCCAGCCAGGCCGCGCCGGCAGAGGGGATCTCCCAACCTGCCCCGGCGCGCGGGGATTTCGCCTACGCCGCCCCGGCTCCTCCGGACGGGGCGCTCTCCCACCCTCAGGCTCCTCGGTGGCCTCCGCACCCGGGCAAAAGCCGGGAGGACCGGGACCCGCAGCGCGACGGCCTGCCGGGCCCCTGCGCGGTGGCACAGCCTGGGCCCGCTCAAGCGGGGCCGCAGGGCCAAGGGGTGCTTGCGCCACCCACGTCCCAGGGGAGTCCGTGGTGGGGCTGGGGCCGGGGTCCCCAGGTCGCCGGGGCGGCGTGGGAACCCCAAGCCGGGGCAGCTCCACCTCCCCAGCCCGCGCCCCCGGACGCCTCCGCCTCCGCGCGGCAGGGGCAGATGCAAGGCATCCCGGCGCCCTCCCAGGCGCTCCAGGAGCCGGCGCCCTGGTCTGCACTCCCCTGCGGCCTGCTGCTGGATGAGCTCCTGGCGAGCCCGGAGTTTCTGCAGCAGGCGCAACCTCTCCTAGAAACGGAGGCCCCGGGGGAGCTGGAGGCCTCGGAAGAGGCCGCCTCGCTGGAAGCACCCCTCAGCGAGGAAGAATACCGGGCTCTGCTGGAGGAGCTTTAGGACGCGGGGTTGGGACGGGGTCGGGTGGTTCGGGGCAGGGCGGTGGCCTCTCTTTCGCGGGGAACACCTGGCTGGCTACGGAGGGGCGTGTCTCCGCCCCGCCCCCTCCACCGGGCTGACCGGCCTGGGATTCCTGCCTTCTAGGTCTAGGCCCGGTGAGAGACTCCACACCGCGGAGAACTGCCATTCTTTCCTGGGCATCCCGGGGATCCCAGAGCCGGCCCAGGTACCAGCAGGTGGGCCGCCTACTGCGCACGCGCGGGTTTGCGGGCAGCCGCCTGGGCTGTGGGAGCAGCCCGGGCAGAGCTCTCCTGCCTCTCCACCAGCCCACCCCGCCGCCTGACCGCCCCCTCCCCACCCCCACCCCCCACCCCCGGAAAACGCGTCGTCCCCTGGGCTGGGTGGAGACCCCCGTCCCGCGAAACACCTGGCCCCGCGCAGCGTCCGGGCCTGACACCGCTCCGGCGGCTCGCCTCCTCTGCGCCCCCGCGCCACCGTCGCCCGCCCGCCCGGGCCCCTGCAGCCGCCCAGGTGCCAGCACGGAGCGCCTGGCGGCGGAACGCAGACCCCAGGCCCGGCGCACACCGGGGACGCTGAGCGTTCCAGGCGGGAGGGAAGGCGGGCAGAGATGGAGAGAGGAACGGGAGACCTAGAGGGGCGGAAGGACGGGCGGAGGGACGTTAGGAGGGAGGGAGGGAGGCAGGGAGGCAGGGAGGAACGGAGGGAAAGACAGAGCGACGCGGGGACTGGGGGCGGGCGGGAGGGAGCCGGGGACGGACGGGGGGAGGAAGGCAGGGAGGAAAAGCGGTCCTCGGCCTCCGGGAGTAGCGGGACCCCCGCCCTCCGGGAAAACGGTCAGCGTCCGGCGCGGGCTGAGGGCTGGGCCCACAGCCGCCGCGCCGGCCGGCGGGGCACCACCCATTCGCCCCGGTTCCGGGGCCCAGGGAGTGGGCGGTTTCCTCCGGGACAAAAGACCGGGACTCGGGTTGCCGTCGGGTTTTCACCCGCGCGGTTCACAGACCGCACATCCCCAGGCTGAGCCCTGCAACGCGGCGCGAGGCCGACAGCCCCGGCCACGGAGGAGCCACACGCAGGACGACGGAGGCGTGATTTTGGTTTCCGCGTGGCTTTGCCCTCCGCAAGGCGGCCTGTTGCTCACGTCTCTCCGGCCCCCGAAAGGCTGGCCATGCCGACTGTTTGCTCCCGGAGCTCTGCGGGCACCCGGAAACATGCAGGGAAGGGTGCAAGCCCGGCATGGTGCCTTCGCTCTCCTTGCCAGGTTCCAAACCGGCCACACTGCAGACTCCCCACGTTGCCGCACGCGGGAATCCATCGTCAGGCCATCACGCCGGGGAGGCATCTCCTCTCTGGGGTCTCGCTCTGGTCTTCTACGTGGAAATGAACGAGAGCCACACGCCTGCGTGTGCGAGACCGTCCCGGCAACGGCGACGCCCACAGGCATTGCCTCCTTCACGGAGAGAGGGCCTGGCACACTCAAGACTCCCACGGAGGTTCAGTTCCACACTCCCCTCCACCCTCCCAGGCTGGTTTCTCCCTGCTGCCGACGCGTGGGAGCCCAGAGAGCGGCTTCCCGTTCCCGCGGGATCCCTGGAGAGGTCCGGAGAGCCGGCCCCCGAAACGCGCCCCCCTCCCCCCTCCCCCCTCTCCCCCTTCCTCTTCGTCTCTCCGGCCCCACCACCACCACCGCCACCACGCCCTCCCCCACCACCCCCCCCCCCACCACCACCACCACCACCACCACCCCGCCGGCCGGCCCCAGGCCTCGACGCCCTGGGTCCCTTCCGGGGTGGGGCGGGCTGTCCCAGGGGGGCTCACCGCCATTCATGAAGGGGTGGAGCCTGCCTGCCTGTGGGCCTTTACAAGGGCGGCTGGCTGGCTGGCTGGCTGGCTGTCCGGGCAGGCCTCCTGGCTGCACCTGCCGCAGTGCACAGTCCGGCTGAGGTGCACGGGAGCCCGCCGGCCTCTCTCTGCCCGCGTCCGTCCGTGAAATTCCGGCCGGGGCTCACCGCGATGGCCCTCCCGACACCC
This sequence comes from Homo sapiens, assembly GCF_000001405.40. Classification (NCBI taxonomy): domain Eukaryota; kingdom Metazoa; phylum Chordata; class Mammalia; order Primates; family Hominidae; genus Homo; species Homo sapiens. Next base: position 180,404 of record NW_015495300.1, read on the forward strand.
TCGGACAGCACCCTCCCCGCGGAAGCCCGGGGACGAGGACGGCGACGGAGACTCGTTTGGACCCCGAGCCAAAGCGAGGCCCTGCGAGCCTGCTTTGAGCGGAACCCGTACCCGGGCATCGCCACCAGAGAACGGCTGGCCCAGGCCATCGGCATTCCGGAGCCCAGGGTCCAGATTTGGTTTCAGAATGAGAGGTCACGCCAGCTGAGGCAGCACCGGCGGGAATCTCGGCCCTGGCCCGGGAGACGCGGCCCGCCAGAAGGCCGGCGAAAGCGGACCGCCGTCACCGGATCCCAGACCGCCCTGCTCCTCCGAGCCTTTGAGAAGGATCGCTTTCCAGGCATCGCCGCCCGGGAGGAGCTGGCCAGAGAGACGGGCCTCCCGGAGTCCAGGATTCAGATCTGGTTTCAGAATCGAAGGGCCAGGCACCCGGGACAGGGTGGCAGGGCGCCCGCGCAGGCAGGCGGCCTGTGCAGCGCGGCCCCCGGCGGGGGTCACCCTGCTCCCTCGTGGGTCGCCTTCGCCCACACCGGCGCGTGGGGAACGGGGCTTCCCGCACCCCACGTGCCCTGCGCGCCTGGGGCTCTCCCACAGGGGGCTTTCGTGAGCCAGGCAGCGAGGGCCGCCCCCGCGCTGCAGCCCAGCCAGGCCGCGCCGGCAGAGGGGATCTCCCAACCTGCCCCGGCGCGCGGGGATTTCGCCTACGCCGCCCCGGCTCCTCCGGACGGGGCGCTCTCCCACCCTCAGGCTCCTCGGTGGCCTCCGCACCCGGGCAAAAGCCGGGAGGACCGGGACCCGCAGCGCGACGGCCTGCCGGGCCCCTGCGCGGTGGCACAGCCTGGGCCCGCTCAAGCGGGGCCGCAGGGCCAAGGGGTGCTTGCGCCACCCACGTCCCAGGGGAGTCCGTGGTGGGGCTGGGGCCGGGGTCCCCAGGTCGCCGGGGCGGCGTGGGAACCCCAAGCCGGGGCAGCTCCACCTCCCCAGCCCGCGCCCCCGGACGCCTCCGCCTCCGCGCGGCAGGGGCAGATGCAAGGCATCCCGGCGCCCTCCCAGGCGCTCCAGGAGCCGGCGCCCTGGTCTGCACTCCCCTGCGGCCTGCTGCTGGATGAGCTCCTGGCGAGCCCGGAGTTTCTGCAGCAGGCGCAACCTCTCCTAGAAACGGAGGCCCCGGGGGAGCTGGAGGCCTCGGAAGAGGCCGCCTCGCTGGAAGCACCCCTCAGCGAGGAAGAATACCGGGCTCTGCTGGAGGAGCTTTAGGACGCGGGGTTGGGACGGGGTCGGGTGGTTCGGGGCAGGGCGGTGGCCTCTCTTTCGCGGGGAACACCTGGCTGGCTACGGAGGGGCGTGTCTCCGCCCCGCCCCCTCCACCGGGCTGACCGGCCTGGGATTCCTGCCTTCTAGGTCTAGGCCCGGTGAGAGACTCCACACCGCGGAGAACTGCCATTCTTTCCTGGGCATCCCGGGGATCCCAGAGCCGGCCCAGGTACCAGCAGGTGGGCCGCCTACTGCGCACGCGCGGGTTTGCGGGCAGCCGCCTGGGCTGTGGGAGCAGCCCGGGCAGAGCTCTCCTGCCTCTCCACCAGCCCACCCCGCCGCCTGACCGCCCCCTCCCCACCCCCACCCCCCACCCCCGGAAAACGCGTCGTCCCCTGGGCTGGGTGGAGACCCCCGTCCCGCGAAACACCTGGCCCCGCGCAGCGTCCGGGCCTGACACCGCTCCGGCGGCTCGCCTCCTCTGCGCCCCCGCGCCACCGTCGCCCGCCCGCCCGGGCCCCTGCAGCCGCCCAGGTGCCAGCACGGAGCGCCTGGCGGCGGAACGCAGACCCCAGGCCCGGCGCACACCGGGGACGCTGAGCGTTCCAGGCGGGAGGGAAGGCGGGCAGAGATGGAGAGAGGAACGGGAGACCTAGAGGGGCGGAAGGACGGGCGGAGGGACGTTAGGAGGGAGGGAGGGAGGCAGGGAGGCAGGGAGGAACGGAGGGAAAGACAGAGCGACGCGGGGACTGGGGGCGGGCGGGAGGGAGCCGGGGACGGACGGGGGGAGGAAGGCAGGGAGGAAAAGCGGTCCTCGGCCTCCGGGAGTAGCGGGACCCCCGCCCTCCGGGAAAACGGTCAGCGTCCGGCGCGGGCTGAGGGCTGGGCCCACAGCCGCCGCGCCGGCCGGCGGGGCACCACCCATTCGCCCCGGTTCCGGGGCCCAGGGAGTGGGCGGTTTCCTCCGGGACAAAAGACCGGGACTCGGGTTGCCGTCGGGTTTTCACCCGCGCGGTTCACAGACCGCACATCCCCAGGCTGAGCCCTGCAACGCGGCGCGAGGCCGACAGCCCCGGCCACGGAGGAGCCACACGCAGGACGACGGAGGCGTGATTTTGGTTTCCGCGTGGCTTTGCCCTCCGCAAGGCGGCCTGTTGCTCACGTCTCTCCGGCCCCCGAAAGGCTGGCCATGCCGACTGTTTGCTCCCGGAGCTCTGCGGGCACCCGGAAACATGCAGGGAAGGGTGCAAGCCCGGCATGGTGCCTTCGCTCTCCTTGCCAGGTTCCAAACCGGCCACACTGCAGACTCCCCACGTTGCCGCACGCGGGAATCCATCGTCAGGCCATCACGCCGGGGAGGCATCTCCTCTCTGGGGTCTCGCTCTGGTCTTCTACGTGGAAATGAACGAGAGCCACACGCCTGCGTGTGCGAGACCGTCCCGGCAACGGCGACGCCCACAGGCATTGCCTCCTTCACGGAGAGAGGGCCTGGCACACTCAAGACTCCCACGGAGGTTCAGTTCCACACTCCCCTCCACCCTCCCAGGCTGGTTTCTCCCTGCTGCCGACGCGTGGGAGCCCAGAGAGCGGCTTCCCGTTCCCGCGGGATCCCTGGAGAGGTCCGGAGAGCCGGCCCCCGAAACGCGCCCCCCTCCCCCCTCCCCCCTCTCCCCCTTCCTCTTCGTCTCTCCGGCCCCACCACCACCACCGCCACCACGCCCTCCCCCACCACCCCCCCCCCCACCACCACCACCACCACCACCACCCCGCCGGCCGGCCCCAGGCCTCGACGCCCTGGGTCCCTTCCGGGGTGGGGCGGGCTGTCCCAGGGGGGCTCACCGCCATTCATGAAGGGGTGGAGCCTGCCTGCCTGTGGGCCTTTACAAGGGCGGCTGGCTGGCTGGCTGGCTGGCTGTCCGGGCAGGCCTCCTGGCTGCACCTGCCGCAGTGCACAGTCCGGCTGAGGTGCACGGGAGCCCGCCGGCCTCTCTCTGCCCGCGTCCGTCCGTGAAATTCCGGCCGGGGCTCACCGCGATGGCCCTCCCGACACCCTCGGACAGCACCCTCCCCGCGGAAGCCCGGGGACGAGGACGGCGACGGAGACTCGTTTGGACCCCGAGCCAAAGCGAGGCCCTGCGAGCCTGCTTTGAGCGGAACCCGTACCCGGGCATCGCCACCAGAGAACGGCTGGCCCAGGCCATCGGCATTCCGGAGCCCAGGGTCCAGATTTGGTTTCAGAATGAGAGGTCACGCCAGCTGAGGCAGCACCGGCGGGAATCTCGGCCCTGGCCCGGGAGACGCGGCCCGCCAGAAGGCCGGCGAAAGCGGACCGCCGTCACCGGATCCCAGACCGCCCTGCTCCTCCGAGCCTTTGAGAAGGATCGCTTTCCAGGCATCGCCGCCCGGGAGGAGCTGGCCAGAGAGACGGGCCTCCCGGAGTCCAGGATTCAGATCTGGTTTCAGAATCGAAGGGCCAGGCACCCGGGACAGGGTGGCAGGGCGCCCGCGCAGGCAGGCGGCCTGTGCAGCGCGGCCCCCGGCGGGGGTCACCCTGCTCCCTCGTGGGTCGCCTTCGCCCACACCGGCGCGTGGGGAACGGGGCTTCCCGCACCCCACGTGCCCTGCGCGCCTGGGGCTCTCCCACAGGGGGCTTTCGTGAGCCAGGCAGCGAGGGCCGCCCCCGCGCTGCAGCCCAGCCAGGCCGCGCCGGCAGAGGGGATCTCCCAACCTGCCCCGGCGCGCGGGGATTTCGCCTACGCCGCCCCGGCTCCTCCGGACGGGGCGCTCTCCCACCCTCAGGCTCCTCGGTGGCCTCCGCACCCGGGCAAAAGCCGGGAGGACCGGGACCCGCAGCGCGACGGCCTGCCGGGCCCCTGCGCGGTGGCACAGCCTGGGCCCGCTCAAGCGGGGCCGCAGGGCCAAGGGGTGCTTGCGCCACCCACGTCCCAGGGGAGTCCGTGGTGGGGCTGGGGCCGGGGTCCCCAGGTCGCCGGGGCGGCGTGGGAACCCCAAGCCGGGGCAGCTCCACCTCCCCAGCCCGCGCCCCCGGACGCCTCCGCCTCCGCGCGGCAGGGGCAGATGCAAGGCATCCCGGCGCCCTCCCAGGCGCTCCAGGAGCCGGCGCCCTGGTCTGCACTCCCCTGCGGCCTGCTGCTGGATGAGCTCCTGGCGAGCCCGGAGTTTCTGCAGCAGGCGCAACCTCTCCTAGAAACGGAGGCCCCGGGGGAGCTGGAGGCCTCGGAAGAGGCCGCCTCGCTGGAAGCACCCCTCAGCGAGGAAGAATACCGGGCTCTGCTGGAGGAGCTTTAGGACGCGGGGTTGGGACGGGGTCGGGTGGTTCGGGGCAGGGCGGTGGCCTCTCTTTCGCGGGGAACACCTGGCTGGCTACGGAGGGGCGTGTCTCCGCCCCGCCCCCTCCACCGGGCTGACCGGCCTGGGATTCCTGCCTTCTAGGTCTAGGCCCGGTGAGAGACTCCACACCGCGGAGAACTGCCATTCTTTCCTGGGCATCCCGGGGATCCCAGAGCCGGCCCAGGTACCAGCAGGTGGGCCGCCTACTGCGCACGCGCGGGTTTGCGGGCAGCCGCCTGGGCTGTGGGAGCAGCCCGGGCAGAGCTCTCCTGCCTCTCCACCAGCCCACCCCGCCGCCTGACCGCCCCCTCCCCACCCCCACCCCCCACCCCCGGAAAACGCGTCGTCCCCTGGGCTGGGTGGAGACCCCCGTCCCGCGAAACACCTGGCCCCGCGCAGCGTCCGGGCCTGACACCGCTCCGGCGGCTCGCCTCCTCTGCGCCCCCGCGCCACCGTCGCCCGCCCGCCCGGGCCCCTGCAGCCGCCCAGGTGCCAGCACGGAGCGCCTGGCGGCGGAACGCAGACCCCAGGCCCGGCGCACACCGGGGACGCTGAGCGTTCCAGGCGGGAGGGAAGGCGGGCAGAGATGGAGAGAGGAACGGGAGACCTAGAGGGGCGGAAGGACGGGCGGAGGGACGTTAGGAGGGAGGGAGGGAGGCAGGGAGGCAGGGAGGAACGGAGGGAAAGACAGAGCGACGCGGGGACTGGGGGCGGGCGGGAGGGAGCCGGGGACGGACGGGGGGAGGAAGGCAGGGAGGAAAAGCGGTCCTCGGCCTCCGGGAGTAGCGGGACCCCCGCCCTCCGGGAAAACGGTCAGCGTCCGGCGCGGGCTGAGGGCTGGGCCCACAGCCGCCGCGCCGGCCGGCGGGGCACCACCCATTCGCCCCGGTTCCGGGGCCCAGGGAGTGGGCGGTTTCCTCCGGGACAAAAGACCGGGACTCGGGTTGCCGTCGGGTTTTCACCCGCGCGGTTCACAGACCGCACATCCCCAGGCTGAGCCCTGCAACGCGGCGCGAGGCCGACAGCCCCGGCCACGGAGGAGCCACACGCAGGACGACGGAGGCGTGATTTTGGTTTCCGCGTGGCTTTGCCCTCCGCAAGGCGGCCTGTTGCTCACGTCTCTCCGGCCCCCGAAAGGCTGGCCATGCCGACTGTTTGCTCCCGGAGCTCTGCGGGCACCCGGAAACATGCAGGGAAGGGTGCAAGCCCGGCATGGTGCCTTCGCTCTCCTTGCCAGGTTCCAAACCGGCCACACTGCAGACTCCCCACGTTGCCGCACGCGGGAATCCATCGTCAGGCCATCACGCCGGGGAGGCATCTCCTCTCTGGGGTCTCGCTCTGGTCTTCTACGTGGAAATGAACGAGAGCCACACGCCTGCGTGTGCGAGACCGTCCCGGCAACGGCGACGCCCACAGGCATTGCCTCCTTCACGGAGAGAGGGCCTGGCACACTCAAGACTCCCACGGAGGTTCAGTTCCACACTCCCCTCCACCCTCCCAGGCTGGTTTCTCCCTGCTGCCGACGCGTGGGAGCCCAGAGAGCGGCTTCCCGTTCCCGCGGGATCCCTGGAGAGGTCCGGAGAGCCGGCCCCCGAAACGCGCCCCCCTCCCCCCTCCCCCCTCTCCCCCTTCCTCTTCGTCTCTCCGGCCCCACCACCACCACCGCCACCACGCCCTCCCCCACCACCCCCCCCCCCACCACCACCACCACCACCACCACCCCGCCGGCCGGCCCCAGGCCTCGACGCCCTGGGTCCCTTCCGGGGTGGGGCGGGCTGTCCCAGGGGGGCTCACCGCCATTCATGAAGGGGTGGAGCCTGCCTGCCTGTGGGCCTTTACAAGGGCGGCTGGCTGGCTGGCTGGCTGGCTGTCCGGGCAGGCCTCCTGGCTGCACCTGCCGCAGTGCACAGTCCGGCTGAGGTGCACGGGAGCCCGCCGGCCTCTCTCTGCCCGCGTCCGTCCGTGAAATTCCGGCCGGGGCTCACCGCGATGGCCCTCCCGACACCCTCGGACAGCACCCTCCCCGCGGAAGCCCGGGGACGAGGACGGCGACGGAGACTCGTTTGGACCCCGAGCCAAAGCGAGGCCCTGCGAGCCTGCTTTGAGCGGAACCCGTACCCGGGCATCGCCACCAGAGAACGGCTGGCCCAGGCCATCGGCATTCCGGAGCCCAGGGTCCAGATTTGGTTTCAGAATGAGAGGTCACGCCAGCTGAGGCAGCACCGGCGGGAATCTCGGCCCTGGCCCGGGAGACGCGGCCCGCCAGAAGGCCGGCGAAAGCGGACCGCCGTCACCGGATCCCAGACCGCCCTGCTCCTCCGAGCCTTTGAGAAGGATCGCTTTCCAGGCATCGCCGCCCGGGAGGAGCTGGCCAGAGAGACGGGCCTCCCGGAGTCCAGGATTCAGATCTGGTTTCAGAATCGAAGGGCCAGGCACCCGGGACAGGGTGGCAGGGCGCCCGCGCAGGCAGGCGGCCTGTGCAGCGCGGCCCCCGGCGGGGGTCACCCTGCTCCCTCGTGGGTCGCCTTCGCCCACACCGGCGCGTGGGGAACGGGGCTTCCCGCACCCCACGTGCCCTGCGCGCCTGGGGCTCTCCCACAGGGGGCTTTCGTGAGCCAGGCAGCGAGGGCCGCCCCCGCGCTGCAGCCCAGCCAGGCCGCGCCGGCAGAGGGGATCTCCCAACCTGCCCCGGCGCGCGGGGATTTCGCCTACGCCGCCCCGGCTCCTCCGGACGGGGCGCTCTCCCACCCTCAGGCTCCTCGGTGGCCTCCGCACCCGGGCAAAAGCCGGGAGGACCGGGACCCGCAGCGCGACGGCCTGCCGGGCCCCTGCGCGGTGGCACAGCCTGGGCCCGCTCAAGCGGGGCCGCAGGGCCAAGGGGTGCTTGCGCCACCCACGTCCCAGGGGAGTCCGTGGTGGGGCTGGGGCCGGGGTCCCCAGGTCGCCGGGGCGGCGTGGGAACCCCAAGCCGGGGCAGCTCCACCTCCCCAGCCCGCGCCCCCGGACGCCTCCGCCTCCGCGCGGCAGGGGCAGATGCAAGGCATCCCGGCGCCCTCCCAGGCGCTCCAGGAGCCGGCGCCCTGGTCTGCACTCCCCTGCGGCCTGCTGCTGGATGAGCTCCTGGCGAGCCCGGAGTTTCTGCAGCAGGCGCAACCTCTCCTAGAAACGGAGGCCCCGGGGGAGCTGGAGGCCTCGGAAGAGGCCGCCTCGCTGGAAGCACCCCTCAGCGAGGAAGAATACCGGGCTCTGCTGGAGGAGCTTTAGGACGCGGGGTTGGGACGGGGTCGGGTGGTTCGGGGCAGGGCGGTGGCCTCTCTTTCGCGGGGAACACCTGGCTGGCTACGGAGGGGCGTGTCTCCGCCCCGCCCCCTCCACCGGGCTGACCGGCCTGGGATTCCTGCCTTCTAGGTCTAGGCCCGGTGAGAGACTCCACACCGCGGAGAACTGCCATTCTTTCCTGGGCATCCCGGGGATCCCAGAGCCGGCCCAGGTACCAGCAGGTGGGCCGCCTACTGCGCACGCGCGGGTTTGCGGGCAGCCGCCTGGGCTGTGGGAGCAGCCCGGGCAGAGCTCTCCTGCCTCTCCACCAGCCCACCCCGCCGCCTGACCGCCCCCTCCCCACCCCCACCCCCCACCCCCGGAAAACGCGTCGTCCCCTGGGCTGGGTGGAGACCCCCGTCCCGCGAAACACCTGGCCCCGCGCAGCGTCCGGGCCTGACACCGCTCCGGCGGCTCGCCTCCTCTGCGCCCCCGCGCCACCGTCGCCCGCCCGCCCGGGCCCCTGCAGCCGCCCAGGTGCCAGCACGGAGCGCCTGGCGGCGGAACGCAGACCCCAGGCCCGGCGCACACCGGGGACGCTGAGCGTTCCAGGCGGGAGGGAAGGCGGGCAGAGATGGAGAGAGGAACGGGAGACCTAGAGGGGCGGAAGGACGGGCGGAGGGACGTTAGGAGGGAGGGAGGGAGGCAGGGAGGCAGGGAGGAACGGAGGGAAAGACAGAGCGACGCGGGGACTGGGGGCGGGCGGGAGGGAGCCGGGGACGGACGGGGGGAGGAAGGCAGGGAGGAAAAGCGGTCCTCGGCCTCCGGGAGTAGCGGGACCCCCGCCCTCCGGGAAAACGGTCAGCGTCCGGCGCGGGCTGAGGGCTGGGCCCACAGCCGCCGCGCCGGCCGGCGGGGCACCACCCATTCGCCCCGGTTCCGGGGCCCAGGGAGTGGGCGGTTTCCTCCGGGACAAAAGACCGGGACTCGGGTTGCCGTCGGGTTTTCACCCGCGCGGTTCACAGACCGCACATCCCCAGGCTGAGCCCTGCAACGCGGCGCGAGGCCGACAGCCCCGGCCACGGAGGAGCCACACGCAGGACGACGGAGGCGTGATTTTGGTTTCCGCGTGGCTTTGCCCTCCGCAAGGCGGCCTGTTGCTCACGTCTCTCCGGCCCCCGAAAGGCTGGCCATGCCGACTGTTTGCTCCCGGAGCTCTGCGGGCACCCGGAAACATGCAGGGAAGGGTGCAAGCCCGGCATGGTGCCTTCGCTCTCCTTGCCAGGTTCCAAACCGGCCACACTGCAGACTCCCCACGTTGCCGCACGCGGGAATCCATCGTCAGGCCATCACGCCGGGGAGGCATCTCCTCTCTGGGGTCTCGCTCTGGTCTTCTACGTGGAAATGAACGAGAGCCACACGCCTGCGTGTGCGAGACCGTCCCGGCAACGGCGACGCCCACAGGCATTGCCTCCTTCACGGAGAGAGGGCCTGGCACACTCAAGACTCCCACGGAGGTTCAGTTCCACACTCCCCTCCACCCTCCCAGGCTGGTTTCTCCCTGCTGCCGACGCGTGGGAGCCCAGAGAGCGGCTTCCCGTTCCCGCGGGATCCCTGGAGAGGTCCGGAGAGCCGGCCCCCGAAACGCGCCCCCCTCCCCCCTCCCCCCTCTCCCCCTTCCTCTTCGTCTCTCCGGCCCCACCACCACCACCGCCACCACGCCCTCCCCCACCACCCCCCCCCCCACCACCACCACCACCACCACCACCCCGCCGGCCGGCCCCAGGCCTCGACGCCCTGGGTCCCTTCCGGGGTGGGGCGGGCTGTCCCAGGGGGGCTCACCGCCATTCATGAAGGGGTGGAGCCTGCCTGCCTGTGGGCCTTTACAAGGGCGGCTGGCTGGCTGGCTGGCTGGCTGTCCGGGCAGGCCTCCTGGCTGCACCTGCCGCAGTGCACAGTCCGGCTGAGGTGCACGGGAGCCCGCCGGCCTCTCTCTGCCCGCGTCCGTCCGTGAAATTCCGGCCGGGGCTCACCGCGATGGCCCTCCCGACACCCTCGGACAGCACCCTCCCCGCGGAAGCCCGGGGACGAGGACGGCGACGGAGACTCGTTTGGACCCCGAGCCAAAGCGAGGCCCTGCGAGCCTGCTTTGAGCGGAACCCGTACCCGGGCATCGCCACCAGAGAACGGCTGGCCCAGGCCATCGGCATTCCGGAGCCCAGGGTCCAGATTTGGTTTCAGAATGAGAGGTCACGCCAGCTGAGGCAGCACCGGCGGGAATCTCGGCCCTGGCCCGGGAGACGCGGCCCGCCAGAAGGCCGGCGAAAGCGGACCGCCGTCACCGGATCCCAGACCGCCCTGCTCCTCCGAGCCTTTGAGAAGGATCGCTTTCCAGGCATCGCCGCCCGGGAGGAGCTGGCCAGAGAGACGGGCCTCCCGGAGTCCAGGATTCAGATCTGGTTTCAGAATCGAAGGGCCAGGCACCCGGGACAGGGTGGCAGGGCGCCCGCGCAGGCAGGCGGCCTGTGCAGCGCGGCCCCCGGCGGGGGTCACCCTGCTCCCTCGTGGGTCGCCTTCGCCCACACCGGCGCGTGGGGAACGGGGCTTCCCGCACCCCACGTGCCCTGCGCGCCTGGGGCTCTCCCACAGGGGGCTTTCGTGAGCCAGGCAGCGAGGGCCGCCCCCGCGCTGCAGCCCAGCCAGGCCGCGCCGGCAGAGGGGATCTCCCAACCTGCCCCGGCGCGCGGGGATTTCGCCTACGCCGCCCCGGCTCCTCCGGACGGGGCGCTCTCCCACCCTCAGGCTCCTCGGTGGCCTCCGCACCCGGGCAAAAGCCGGGAGGACCGGGACCCGCAGCGCGACGGCCTGCCGGGCCCCTGCGCGGTGGCACAGCCTGGGCCCGCTCAAGCGGGGCCGCAGGGCCAAGGGGTGCTTGCGCCACCCACGTCCCAGGGGAGTCCGTGGTGGGGCTGGGGCCGGGGTCCCCAGGTCGCCGGGGCGGCGTGGGAACCCCAAGCCGGGGCAGCTCCACCTCCCCAGCCCGCGCCCCCGGACGCCTCCGCCTCCGCGCGGCAGGGGCAGATGCAAGGCATCCCGGCGCCCTCCCAGGCGCTCCAGGAGCCGGCGCCCTGGTCTGCACTCCCCTGCGGCCTGCTGCTGGATGAGCTCCTGGCGAGCCCGGAGTTTCTGCAGCAGGCGCAACCTCTCCTAGAAACGGAGGCCCCGGGGGAGCTGGAGGCCTCGGAAGAGGCCGCCTCGCTGGAAGCACCCCTCAGCGAGGAAGAATACCGGGCTCTGCTGGAGGAGCTTTAGGACGCGGGGTTGGGACGGGGTCGGGTGGTTCGGGGCAGGGCGGTGGCCTCTCTTTCGCGGGGAACACCTGGCTGGCTACGGAGGGGCGTGTCTCCGCCCCGCCCCCTCCACCGGGCTGACCGGCCTGGGATTCCTGCCTTCTAGGTCTAGGCCCGGTGAGAGACTCCACACCGCGGAGAACTGCCATTCTTTCCTGGGCATCCCGGGGATCCCAGAGCCGGCCCAGGTACCAGCAGGTGGGCCGCCTACTGCGCACGCGCGGGTTTGCGGGCAGCCGCCTGGGCTGTGGGAGCAGCCCGGGCAGAGCTCTCCTGCCTCTCCACCAGCCCACCCCGCCGCCTGACCGCCCCCTCCCCACCCCCACCCCCCACCCCCGGAAAACGCGTCGTCCCCTGGGCTGGGTGGAGACCCCCGTCCCGCGAAACACCTGGCCCCGCGCAGCGTCCGGGCCTGACACCGCTCCGGCGGCTCGCCTCCTCTGCGCCCCCGCGCCACCGTCGCCCGCCCGCCCGGGCCCCTGCAGCCGCCCAGGTGCCAGCACGGAGCGCCTGGCGGCGGAACGCAGACCCCAGGCCCGGCGCACACCGGGGACGCTGAGCGTTCCAGGCGGGAGGGAAGGCGGGCAGAGATGGAGAGAGGAACGGGAGACCTAGAGGGGCGGAAGGACGGGCGGAGGGACGTTAGGAGGGAGGGAGGGAGGCAGGGAGGCAGGGAGGAACGGAGGGAAAGACAGAGCGACGCGGGGACTGGGGGCGGGCGGGAGGGAGCCGGGGACGGACGGGGGGAGGAAGGCAGGGAGGAAAAGCGGTCCTCGGCCTCCGGGAGTAGCGGGACCCCCGCCCTCCGGGAAAACGGTCAGCGTCCGGCGCGGGCTGAGGGCTGGGCCCACAGCCGCCGCGCCGGCCGGCGGGGCACCACCCATTCGCCCCGGTTCCGGGGCCCAGGGAGTGGGCGGTTTCCTCCGGGACAAAAGACCGGGACTCGGGTTGCCGTCGGGTTTTCACCCGCGCGGTTCACAGACCGCACATCCCCAGGCTGAGCCCTGCAACGCGGCGCGAGGCCGACAGCCCCGGCCACGGAGGAGCCACACGCAGGACGACGGAGGCGTGATTTTGGTTTCCGCGTGGCTTTGCCCTCCGCAAGGCGGCCTGTTGCTCACGTCTCTCCGGCCCCCGAAAGGCTGGCCATGCCGACTGTTTGCTCCCGGAGCTCTGCGGGCACCCGGAAACATGCAGGGAAGGGTGCAAGCCCGGCATGGTGCCTTCGCTCTCCTTGCCAGGTTCCAAACCGGCCACACTGCAGACTCCCCACGTTGCCGCACGCGGGAATCCATCGTCAGGCCATCACGCCGGGGAGGCATCTCCTCTCTGGGGTCTCGCTCTGGTCTTCTACGTGGAAATGAACGAGAGCCACACGCCTGCGTGTGCGAGACCGTCCCGGCAACGGCGACGCCCACAGGCATTGCCTCCTTCACGGAGAGAGGGCCTGGCACACTCAAGACTCCCACGGAGGTTCAGTTCCACACTCCCCTCCACCCTCCCAGGCTGGTTTCTCCCTGCTGCCGACGCGTGGGAGCCCAGAGAGCGGCTTCCCGTTCCCGCGGGATCCCTGGAGAGGTCCGGAGAGCCGGCCCCCGAAACGCGCCCCCCTCCCCCCTCCCCCCTCTCCCCCTTCCTCTTCGTCTCTCCGGCCCCACCACCACCACCGCCACCACGCCCTCCCCCACCACCCCCCCCCCCACCACCACCACCACCACCACCACCCCGCCGGCCGGCCCCAGGCCTCGACGCCCTGGGTCCCTTCCGGGGTGGGGCGGGCTGTCCCAGGGGGGCTCACCGCCATTCATGAAGGGGTGGAGCCTGCCTGCCTGTGGGCCTTTACAAGGGCGGCTGGCTGGCTGGCTGGCTGGCTGTCCGGGCAGGCCTCCTGGCTGCACCTGCCGCAGTGCACAGTCCGGCTGAGGTGCACGGGAGCCCGCCGGCCTCTCTCTGCCCGCGTCCGTCCGTGAAATTCCGGCCGGGGCTCACCGCGATGGCCCTCCCGACACCCTCGGACAGCACCCTCCCCGCGGAAGCCCGGGGACGAGGACGGCGACGGAGACTCGTTTGGACCCCGAGCCAAAGCGAGGCCCTGCGAGCCTGCTTTGAGCGGAACCCGTACCCGGGCATCGCCACCAGAGAACGGCTGGCCCAGGCCATCGGCATTCCGGAGCCCAGGGTCCAGATTTGGTTTCAGAATGAGAGGTCACGCCAGCTGAGGCAGCACCGGCGGGAATCTCGGCCCTGGCCCGGGAGACGCGGCCCGCCAGAAGGCCGGCGAAAGCGGACCGCCGTCACCGGATCCCAGACCGCCCTGCTCCTCCGAGCCTTTGAGAAGGATCGCTTTCCAGGCATCGCCGCCCGGGAGGAGCTGGCCAGAGAGACGGGCCTCCCGGAGTCCAGGATTCAGATCTGGTTTCAGAATCGAAGGGCCAGGCACCCGGGACAGGGTGGCAGGGCGCCCGCGCAGGCAGGCGGCCTGTGCAGCGCGGCCCCCGGCGGGGGTCACCCTGCTCCCTCGTGGGTCGCCTTCGCCCACACCGGCGCGTGGGGAACGGGGCTTCCCGCACCCCACGTGCCCTGCGCGCCTGGGGCTCTCCCACAGGGGGCTTTCGTGAGCCAGGCAGCGAGGGCCGCCCCCGCGCTGCAGCCCAGCCAGGCCGCGCCGGCAGAGGGGATCTCCCAACCTGCCCCGGCGCGCGGGGATTTCGCCTACGCCGCCCCGGCTCCTCCGGACGGGGCGCTCTCCCACCCTCAGGCTCCTCGGTGGCCTCCGCACCCGGGCAAAAGCCGGGAGGACCGGGACCCGCAGCGCGACGGCCTGCCGGGCCCCTGCGCGGTGGCACAGCCTGGGCCCGCTCAAGCGGGGCCGCAGGGCCAAGGGGTGCTTGCGCCACCCACGTCCCAGGGGAGTCCGTGGTGGGGCTGGGGCCGGGGTCCCCAGGTCGCCGGGGCGGCGTGGGAACCCCAAGCCGGGGCAGCTCCACCTCCCCAGCCCGCGCCCCCGGACGCCTCCGCCTCCGCGCGGCAGGGGCAGATGCAAGGCATCCCGGCGCCCTCCCAGGCGCTCCAGGAGCCGGCGCCCTGGTCTGCACTCCCCTGCGGCCTGCTGCTGGATGAGCTCCTGGCGAGCCCGGAGTTTCTGCAGCAGGCGCAACCTCTCCTAGAAACGGAGGCCCCGGGGGAGCTGGAGGCCTCGGAAGAGGCCGCCTCGCTGGAAGCACCCCTCAGCGAGGAAGAATACCGGGCTCTGCTGGAGGAGCTTTAGGACGCGGGGTTGGGACGGGGTCGGGTGGTTCGGGGCAGGGCGGTGGCCTCTCTTTCGCGGGGAACACCTGGCTGGCTACGGAGGGGCGTGTCTCCGCCCCGCCCCCTCCACCGGGCTGACCGGCCTGGGATTCCTGCCTTCTAGGTCTAGGCCCGGTGAGAGACTCCACACCGCGGAGAACTGCCATTCTTTCCTGGGCATCCCGGGGATCCCAGAGCCGGCCCAGGTACCAGCAGGTGGGCCGCCTACTGCGCACGCGCGGGTTTGCGGGCAGCCGCCTGGGCTGTGGGAGCAGCCCGGGCAGAGCTCTCCTGCCTCTCCACCAGCCCACCCCGCCGCCTGACCGCCCCCTCCCCACCCCCACCCCCCACCCCCGGAAAACGCGTCGTCCCCTGGGCTGGGTGGAGACCCCCGTCCCGCGAAACACCTGGCCCCGCGCAGCGTCCGGGCCTGACACCGCTCCGGCGGCTCGCCTCCTCTGCGCCCCCGCGCCACCGTCGCCCGCCCGCCCGGGCCCCTGCAGCCGCCCAGGTGCCAGCACGGAGCGCCTGGCGGCGGAACGCAGACCCCAGGCCCGGCGCACACCGGGGACGCTGAGCGTTCCAGGCGGGAGGGAAGGCGGGCAGAGATGGAGAGAGGAACGGGAGACCTAGAGGGGCGGAAGGACGGGCGGAGGGACGTTAGGAGGGAGGGAGGGAGGCAGGGAGGCAGGGAGGAACGGAGGGAAAGACAGAGCGACGCGGGGACTGGGGGCGGGCGGGAGGGAGCCGGGGACGGACGGGGGGAGGAAGGCAGGGAGGAAAAGCGGTCCTCGGCCTCCGGGAGTAGCGGGACCCCCGCCCTCCGGGAAAACGGTCAGCGTCCGGCGCGGGCTGAGGGCTGGGCCCACAGCCGCCGCGCCGGCCGGCGGGGCACCACCCATTCGCCCCGGTTCCGGGGCCCAGGGAGTGGGCGGTTTCCTCCGGGACAAAAGACCGGGACTCGGGTTGCCGTCGGGTTTTCACCCGCGCGGTTCACAGACCGCACATCCCCAGGCTGAGCCCTGCAACGCGGCGCGAGGCCGACAGCCCCGGCCACGGAGGAGCCACACGCAGGACGACGGAGGCGTGATTTTGGTTTCCGCGTGGCTTTGCCCTCCGCAAGGCGGCCTGTTGCTCACGTCTCTCCGGCCCCCGAAAGGCTGGCCATGCCGACTGTTTGCTCCCGGAGCTCTGCGGGCACCCGGAAACATGCAGGGAAGGGTGCAAGCCCGGCATGGTGCCTTCGCTCTCCTTGCCAGGTTCCAAACCGGCCACACTGCAGACTCCCCACGTTGCCGCACGCGGGAATCCATCGTCAGGCCATCACGCCGGGGAGGCATCTCCTCTCTGGGGTCTCGCTCTGGTCTTCTACGTGGAAATGAACGAGAGCCACACGCCTGCGTGTGCGAGACCGTCCCGGCAACGGCGACGCCCACAGGCATTGCCTCCTTCACGGAGAGAGGGCCTGGCACACTCAAGACTCCCACGGAGGTTCAGTTCCACACTCCCCTCCACCCTCCCAGGCTGGTTTCTCCCTGCTGCCGACGCGTGGGAGCCCAGAGAGCGGCTTCCCGTTCCCGCGGGATCCCTGGAGAGGTCCGGAGAGCCGGCCCCCGAAACGCGCCCCCCTCCCCCCTCCCCCCTCTCCCCCTTCCTCTTCGTCTCTCCGGCCCCACCACCACCACCGCCACCACGCCCTCCCCCACCACCCCCCCCCCCACCACCACCACCACCACCACCACCCCGCCGGCCGGCCCCAGGCCTCGACGCCCTGGGTCCCTTCCGGGGTGGGGCGGGCTGTCCCAGGGGGGCTCACCGCCATTCATGAAGGGGTGGAGCCTGCCTGCCTGTGGGCCTTTACAAGGGCGGCTGGCTGGCTGGCTGGCTGGCTGTCCGGGCAGGCCTCCTGGCTGCACCTGCCGCAGTGCACAGTCCGGCTGAGGTGCACGGGAGCCCGCCGGCCTCTCTCTGCCCGCGTCCGTCCGTGAAATTCCGGCCGGGGCTCACCGCGATGGCCCTCCCGACACCCTCGGACAGCACCCTCCCCGCGGAAGCCCGGGGACGAGGACGGCGACGGAGACTCGTTTGGACCCCGAGCCAAAGCGAGGCCCTGCGAGCCTGCTTTGAGCGGAACCCGTACCCGGGCATCGCCACCAGAGAACGGCTGGCCCAGGCCATCGGCATTCCGGAGCCCAGGGTCCAGATTTGGTTTCAGAATGAGAGGTCACGCCAGCTGAGGCAGCACCGGCGGGAATCTCGGCCCTGGCCCGGGAGACGCGGCCCGCCAGAAGGCCGGCGAAAGCGGACCGCCGTCACCGGATCCCAGACCGCCCTGCTCCTCCGAGCCTTTGAGAAGGATCGCTTTCCAGGCATCGCCGCCCGGGAGGAGCTGGCCAGAGAGACGGGCCTCCCGGAGTCCAGGATTCAGATCTGGTTTCAGAATCGAAGGGCCAGGCACCCGGGACAGGGTGGCAGGGCGCCCGCGCAGGCAGGCGGCCTGTGCAGCGCGGCCCCCGGCGGGGGTCACCCTGCTCCCTCGTGGGTCGCCTTCGCCCACACCGGCGCGTGGGGAACGGGGCTTCCCGCACCCCACGTGCCCTGCGCGCCTGGGGCTCTCCCACAGGGGGCTTTCGTGAGCCAGGCAGCGAGGGCCGCCCCCGCGCTGCAGCCCAGCCAGGCCGCGCCGGCAGAGGGGATCTCCCAACCTGCCCCGGCGCGCGGGGATTTCGCCTACGCCGCCCCGGCTCCTCCGGACGGGGCGCTCTCCCACCCTCAGGCTCCTCGGTGGCCTCCGCACCCGGGCAAAAGCCGGGAGGACCGGGACCCGCAGCGCGACGGCCTGCCGGGCCCCTGCGCGGTGGCACAGCCTGGGCCCGCTCAAGCGGGGCCGCAGGGCCAAGGGGTGCTTGCGCCACCCACGTCCCAGGGGAGTCCGTGGTGGGGCTGGGGCCGGGGTCCCCAGGTCGCCGGGGCGGCGTGGGAACCCCAAGCCGGGGCAGCTCCACCTCCCCAGCCCGCGCCCCCGGACGCCTCCGCCTCCGCGCGGCAGGGGCAGATGCAAGGCATCCCGGCGCCCTCCCAGGCGCTCCAGGAGCCGGCGCCCTGGTCTGCACTCCCCTGCGGCCTGCTGCTGGATGAGCTCCTGGCGAGCCCGGAGTTTCTGCAGCAGGCGCAACCTCTCCTAGAAACGGAGGCCCCGGGGGAGCTGGAGGCCTCGGAAGAGGCCGCCTCGCTGGAAGCACCCCTCAGCGAGGAAGAATACCGGGCTCTGCTGGAGGAGCTTTAGGACGCGGGGTTGGGACGGGGTCGGGTGGTTCGGGGCAGGGCGGTGGCCTCTCTTTCGCGGGGAACACCTGGCTGGCTACGGAGGGGCGTGTCTCCGCCCCGCCCCCTCCACCGGGCTGACCGGCCTGGGATTCCTGCCTTCTAGGTCTAGGCCCGGTGAGAGACTCCACACCGCGGAGAACTGCCATTCTTTCCTGGGCATCCCGGGGATCCCAGAGCCGGCCCAGGTACCAGCAGGTGGGCCGCCTACTGCGCACGCGCGGGTTTGCGGGCAGCCGCCTGGGCTGTGGGAGCAGCCCGGGCAGAGCTCTCCTGCCTCTCCACCAGCCCACCCCGCCGCCTGACCGCCCCCTCCCCACCCCCACCCCCCACCCCCGGAAAACGCGTCGTCCCCTGGGCTGGGTGGAGACCCCCGTCCCGCGAAACACCTGGCCCCGCGCAGCGTCCGGGCCTGACACCGCTCCGGCGGCTCGCCTCCTCTGCGCCCCCGCGCCACCGTCGCCCGCCCGCCCGGGCCCCTGCAGCCGCCCAGGTGCCAGCACGGAGCGCCTGGCGGCGGAACGCAGACCCCAGGCCCGGCGCACACCGGGGACGCTGAGCGTTCCAGGCGGGAGGGAAGGCGGGCAGAGATGGAGAGAGGAACGGGAGACCTAGAGGGGCGGAAGGACGGGCGGAGGGACGTTAGGAGGGAGGGAGGGAGGCAGGGAGGCAGGGAGGAACGGAGGGAAAGACAGAGCGACGCGGGGACTGGGGGCGGGCGGGAGGGAGCCGGGGACGGACGGGGGGAGGAAGGCAGGGAGGAAAAGCGGTCCTCGGCCTCCGGGAGTAGCGGGACCCCCGCCCTCCGGGAAAACGGTCAGCGTCCGGCGCGGGCTGAGGGCTGGGCCCACAGCCGCCGCGCCGGCCGGCGGGGCACCACCCATTCGCCCCGGTTCCGGGGCCCAGGGAGTGGGCGGTTTCCTCCGGGACAAAAGACCGGGACTCGGGTTGCCGTCGGGTTTTCACCCGCGCGGTTCACAGACCGCACATCCCCAGGCTGAGCCCTGCAACGCGGCGCGAGGCCGACAGCCCCGGCCACGGAGGAGCCACACGCAGGACGACGGAGGCGTGATTTTGGTTTCCGCGTGGCTTTGCCCTCCGCAAGGCGGCCTGTTGCTCACGTCTCTCCGGCCCCCGAAAGGCTGGCCATGCCGACTGTTTGCTCCCGGAGCTCTGCGGGCACCCGGAAACATGCAGGGAAGGGTGCAAGCCCGGCATGGTGCCTTCGCTCTCCTTGCCAGGTTCCAAACCGGCCACACTGCAGACTCCCCACGTTGCCGCACGCGGGAATCCATCGTCAGGCCATCACGCCGGGGAGGCATCTCCTCTCTGGGGTCTCGCTCTGGTCTTCTACGTGGAAATGAACGAGAGCCACACGCCTGCGTGTGCGAGACCGTCCCGGCAACGGCGACGCCCACAGGCATTGCCTCCTTCACGGAGAGAGGGCCTGGCACACTCAAGACTCCCACGGAGGTTCAGTTCCACACTCCCCTCCACCCTCCCAGGCTGGTTTCTCCCTGCTGCCGACGCGTGGGAGCCCAGAGAGCGGCTTCCCGTTCCCGCGGGATCCCTGGAGAGGTCCGGAGAGCCGGCCCCCGAAACGCGCCCCCCTCCCCCCTCCCCCCTCTCCCCCTTCCTCTTCGTCTCTCCGGCCCCACCACCACCACCGCCACCACGCCCTCCCCCACCACCCCCCCCCCCACCACCACCACCACCACCACCACCCCGCCGGCCGGCCCCAGGCCTCGACGCCCTGGGTCCCTTCCGGGGTGGGGCGGGCTGTCCCAGGGGGGCTCACCGCCATTCATGAAGGGGTGGAGCCTGCCTGCCTGTGGGCCTTTACAAGGGCGGCTGGCTGGCTGGCTGGCTGGCTGTCCGGGCAGGCCTCCTGGCTGCACCTGCCGCAGTGCACAGTCCGGCTGAGGTGCACGGGAGCCCGCCGGCCTCTCTCTGCCCGCGTCCGTCCGTGAAATTCCGGCCGGGGCTCACCGCGATGGCCCTCCCGACACCCTCGGACAGCACCCTCCCCGCGGAAGCCCGGGGACGAGGACGGCGACGGAGACTCGTTTGGACCCCGAGCCAAAGCGAGGCCCTGCGAGCCTGCTTTGAGCGGAACCCGTACCCGGGCATCGCCACCAGAGAACGGCTGGCCCAGGCCATCGGCATTCCGGAGCCCAGGGTCCAGATTTGGTTTCAGAATGAGAGGTCACGCCAGCTGAGGCAGCACCGGCGGGAATCTCGGCCCTGGCCCGGGAGACGCGGCCCGCCAGAAGGCCGGCGAAAGCGGACCGCCGTCACCGGATCCCAGACCGCCCTGCTCCTCCGAGCCTTTGAGAAGGATCGCTTTCCAGGCATCGCCGCCCGGGAGGAGCTGGCCAGAGAGACGGGCCTCCCGGAGTCCAGGATTCAGATCTGGTTTCAGAATCGAAGGGCCAGGCACCCGGGACAGGGTGGCAGGGCGCCCGCGCAGGCAGGCGGCCTGTGCAGCGCGGCCCCCGGCGGGGGTCACCCTGCTCCCTCGTGGGTCGCCTTCGCCCACACCGGCGCGTGGGGAACGGGGCTTCCCGCACCCCACGTGCCCTGCGCGCCTGGGGCTCTCCCACAGGGGGCTTTCGTGAGCCAGGCAGCGAGGGCCGCCCCCGCGCTGCAGCCCAGCCAGGCCGCGCCGGCAGAGGGGATCTCCCAACCTGCCCCGGCGCGCGGGGATTTCGCCTACGCCGCCCCGGCTCCTCCGGACGGGGCGCTCTCCCACCCTCAGGCTCCTCGGTGGCCTCCGCACCCGGGCAAAAGCCGGGAGGACCGGGACCCGCAGCGCGACGGCCTGCCGGGCCCCTGCGCGGTGGCACAGCCTGGGCCCGCTCAAGCGGGGCCGCAGGGCCAAGGGGTGCTTGCGCCACCCACGTCCCAGGGGAGTCCGTGGTGGGGCTGGGGCCGGGGTCCCCAGGTCGCCGGGGCGGCGTGGGAACCCCAAGCCGGGGCAGCTCCACCTCCCCAGCCCGCGCCCCCGGACGCCTCCGCCTCCGCGCGGCAGGGGCAGATGCAAGGCATCCCGGCGCCCTCCCAGGCGCTCCAGGAGCCGGCGCCCTGGTCTGCACTCCCCTGCGGCCTGCTGCTGGATGAGCTCCTGGCGAGCCCGGAGTTTCTGCAGCAGGCGCAACCTCTCCTAGAAACGGAGGCCCCGGGGGAGCTGGAGGCCTCGGAAGAGGCCGCCTCGCTGGAAGCACCCCTCAGCGAGGAAGAATACCGGGCTCTGCTGGAGGAGCTTTAGGACGCGGGGTTGGGACGGGGTCGGGTGGTTCGGGGCAGGGCGGTGGCCTCTCTTTCGCGGGGAACACCTGGCTGGCTACGGAGGGGCGTGTCTCCGCCCCGCCCCCTCCACCGGGCTGACCGGCCTGGGATTCCTGCCTTCTAGGTCTAGGCCCGGTGAGAGACTCCACACCGCGGAGAACTGCCATTCTTTCCTGGGCATCCCGGGGATCCCAGAGCCGGCCCAGGTACCAGCAGGTGGGCCGCCTACTGCGCACGCGCGGGTTTGCGGGCAGCCGCCTGGGCTGTGGGAGCAGCCCGGGCAGAGCTCTCCTGCCTCTCCACCAGCCCACCCCGCCGCCTGACCGCCCCCTCCCCACCCCCACCCCCCACCCCCGGAAAACGCGTCGTCCCCTGGGCTGGGTGGAGACCCCCGTCCCGCGAAACACCGGGCCCCGCGCAGCGTCCGGGCCTGACACCGCTCCGGCGGCTCGCCTCCTCTGCGCCCCCGCGCCACCGTCGCCCGCCCGCCCGGGCCCCTGCAGCCTCCCAGCTGCCAGCACGGAGCGCCTGGCGGTCAAAAGCATACCTCTGTCTGTCTTTGCCCGCTTCCTGGCTAGACCTGCGCGCAGTGCGCACCCCGGCTGACGTGCAAGGGAGCTCGCTGGCCTCTCTGTGCCCTTGTTCTTCCGTGAAATTCTGGCTGAATGTCTCCCCCCACCTTCCGACGCTGTCTAGGCAAACCTGGATTAGAGTTACATCTCCTGGATGATTAGTTCAGAGATATATTAAAATGCCCCCTCCCTGTGGATCCTATAGAAGATTTGCATCTTTTGTGTGATGAGTGCAGAGATATGTCACAATATCCCCTGTAGAAAAAGCCTGAAATTGATTTACAGAACTTCGGTGATCAGTGCAGATGTGTTTCAGAGCTCCATAGTAGACTGAACCTAGAGAATGGTTACATCACTTAGGTGATCAGTGTAGAGATATGTTAAAATTCTCGTGTAGACAGAGCCTAGACAATTGTTACATCACCTAGTGATCAGTGCAGGGATAAGTCATAAAGCCTCCTGTAGGCAGAGTGTAGGCAAGTGTTCCCTCCCTGGGCTGATCAGTGCAGAGATATCTCACAAAGCCCCTATAAGCCAAACCTTGACAAGGGTTACATCACCTGTTTGAGCAGTGGAAATATATATCACAAAGCCCCCTGTAGACAAAGCCCAGACAATTTTTACATCTCCTGAGTGAGCATTGGAGAGATCTGTCACAATGCCCCTGTAGGCAGAGCTTAGACAAGTGTTACATCACCTGGGTGATCAGTGCAGAGATGTGTCAAAACGCTCCTGTAGTCTGAACCTAGACAGGAGTTACATCACCTTGGGGATCAGTGCAGAGATACGTGAGAATTCCCTTGTAGGCAGGGCCTAGACAAGTGTTACATCACCTAGGTTATCAGTGCAGAGATATGTGAGAATTCCCGTGTAGGCAGAGCCTAGACAAGTGTTACATCACCTAGTTTATCAGTGTAATTATTAGTCATAAAGCCTCCTGTAGGCAGAACGTAGACAAGAGTTCCCTCCTCAGGGTGATCAGTGCAGAGATGTGTCACAAAGCCCCTGTAGGCAGAGCCTAGACAAGAGTTTCATCACTTGGTTGATCAGTTCAGAGATGTGTCAGAATGCCCATGTAGGCAGATCTAAGACAAGCGTCCATCACCTGGGTGATCAGTGCAGAGATATGTACCAGTGTCCCCTGTAGGCAGTGCCTAGACAAGAGTTGAATCACCTCAGAGATCAGTGCATAGATATGTCACAAAGCCTTCTGTAGGCAAAGCCCATACAAGGTTTAGATCACCTAGGTGATCAGTGCAGTGATATGTCACAAAAATCCCTGTAGACAGAGCCTAGACAAGAGTTACTTCACCTGGGTGATCAGTGCAGATATTTGACACAATGCCCCCATAGACAGAGCCTAGGCAAGACTTCCATCACCTGGGTGATCAGTGCAGAGATATGTCACAAATCCCCCTCTAGGCAGAGTATAGAGAAGAGTCCCATCACCTGGGTGATCAGTGCAGAGATATTTCACAATGTCCCCTGTAGGCAGAGAGTGGACAAGAGTTACATCACCTAGATGATCTGTGCAGAGCTATGTCAAAACGCCCCTGTAGGCAGAGCCTAGATGAGTGTTACATCACCTGGGTGATCATTGCAGAGATACGTCACAATACCCCCTGTAGGTGGGGCCTAGACAAGAGTTACATCACCTGGGTGATCAGTACAGAAGTATGTCACAAAGCCCCTGTAGGCAGAGCCTAGACAAGAGTTACATCACCTGGGTTATCAGTGCAGAAATATGTCACAAAGCCCCTGTAGGTCGAGTCTAGACAAGAGTTACATCTCCTGGGTGATCAGTGCAAAGATATGTCACAAAGCCCCCTGTAGACAAATCCCAGAAAATTGTTACATCACCTGGGTGATCAGTGGAGATATGTGTCACAATTCCCCTTTAGGCACAGCTTAGACAAGCGTTACATCACATGAGTGATCATTGCAGAGTTATGTCACTATGCCCCCATAGGCAGATCCAAGACAAGAGTCCATCACCTGGGTGATCAGTGCAGAAATATGCCACAATGCCGCCAGTAGGCAGATATAGACAAGAGTTACATCACCTGCGTGATCACTGCAGAGATATATCACAATGCCCCTGTAGGCAGAGCCTAGACAAGAGTCCCATCACCTGGGTGATCAGTGCAGAGTTATGTCACAATGCCCCCTTTTGGCAGAGCCTAGACAAGGGTTACATCACCTGGGTGATCAGTGCAGAGATATGTCACAATGTCCCTGTAGCCATATCCTTGACAAAAGTGACATCACCTGGGTGATCAGTGTGGAGATATGTCACAATGTCTCCAGTAGGCAGAGCCTAGACAAGAGTTACATCACCTGGGTGATCAGGGCAGAGATATGTCACAATGCCCCCTGTAAGCAGATCCCAGACAAGAGTTGCATCACCTCGGTGATCAGTGCAGAGATACGTCACAATGCCCCTGTAGGCAGAGCCTAGACAAGAGTTACATAACCCAGGTGATCCGTACAGAGTGATGTCACAACGCCCTCTGTAGGCAGAGACTAGAAAAGAGTTACATTACCTGGGTGATCAGTGCAGAGATATGTCACAATGCCCCCTGTAGGCAGAGCATAGAGAAGAGTTGCATCACCTGGGTGATCAGTGTAGAGATATGTCACAATGTCCCCTGTAGGCAGAGCACAGAGAAGAGTTGCACCACCTGGGTGATCAGTGCAGAGATATGTCACAATGTCCCCTGTAGGCAAAGCCTAGGCAAGAGTTACATCACCTTTGTCATCAGTTCAGGGATATGTGAAAACGCCCCTGTAGGCAGAGCTTAGACAAGAGTTACATCACCTAGTTGATCAGTGCAGAGATATTTCACAATACCCCCTGTAGGCAGATCCTAGACAAGAGTTGCATCACCTGGGTGATCAGTGCAGAGATATTTCACAACGCCCCCTGTAGGCAGAGGGTAGACAAGAGTTACATCACCTAGGTGATCAGTGCAGAGATTTGTCGAAATTCCCTGTAGGCAGTGCTTATAAAAGTGTTACATCACCTAAGTGATCAGTGCAGAGATATGTCACAAAGCTCCTGTAGGCAGAGCTTAGATGAGTTACATCACCTGGGTGATCAGAGCAAAGGTATGTCACAAAGCCCCCTGTAGGCCAAAGCCTAGACAATAGTTACATCACTTGGGTGATCAGTGGCGAGATCTCTCACAATTCCCCTGTAGGCAGAGCTTATACAACAGTTACATCACCTGGGTGATCAGTGCAGATATATGTCACAATGCCCCCATAGGCAGATCCAAGACAAGAGTCCGTCTCCTGGGTGATCAGTGCAGAAATACGTCACAATGCCCCCTTAGGCAGAGCCTAGACAAAAGCCCCATCACCTGGATGATTAGTGCAGAGTTATGTCACAAAGTCCCTTTAGGCAGATCCTAGAAAAGAGTCCCATTACTTGGGTGATCAGTGCAGAGATATGTCACAATGCCACTGTAGGCAGAGCCTAGACAAGAGTTATATGACCTAGGTGATCAGTGCAGAGATACATTGCAATGCCCCTGTAGGCAGAGCCCTGACAAGTGGTACATCACCTGGGTGATCATTGCAGGGATATGTCACAAAGCACCCTGTAGGCAGATCCTAGACAAGAGTTACATGACCTGGGTGATCAGTGCAGAGATATGTCACAATGCCACTGTAGGCAGAGCCTAGACAAGAGTTACATGACCTAGGTGATCAGTGCAGAGATACATCGCAATGCCCCTGTAGGCAGAGCCTTGACAAGTGGTACATCACCTGGGTGATCATTGCAGGGATATGTCACAAAGCACCCTGTAAGCAGATCCTAGAGAAGAGTTATATCACCTGGGTGATCAGTGCAGAGATATGTCACAAGCCCCCTGTAGGCAGAGCCTAGACAAGAGTTATATCACCTGGGTGATCAGTGCAGTGATATGTCACAATGCTGTGTAGCCAGAGCCTAGACAAAAGTTACAGCACCTGGGAGATCAGTGCAGAGATATGTCACAATGTCCCCAGTAGGCAGAGACCAGGCAAGAGTTGGATCACCTCGGGATCAGTGCAGAGATATGTCTCAATCCCCCTGTGGGCACAGCCTAGACAAGAGTTACATCACCTCGGTTAACAGTGCAGAGATATGTCAAAATGCCCCTGTAGGCAAGCCTACACAAGTATTACATCACTTAGGTGATCAGTGCAGAGATATGTCACAATACCCCCTGTAAGCAGAGCCTAGACAAGAGTTACATCACCTGGGTGATCAGTGCAGAGATATGTGACAAGGCCCCTTTAAGCAGAGCCTAGACAATAGTTACATCACCTGAGTGATCAGTGCAGAGATCTGTCACAATGCCCCTTTAGGCAGAGCTTAGACTAGAGTTACATCACCTGGGTGATCAGTGCAGAGATATGTCACATTGCCCCCATAGGCAAATCCAAGACAAGAGTCAGTCACCTGGGTGATCAGTGCAGAAATATGTGACAATGCCGCCAGTAGGCAGAGCCTAGAGAAGAGTCCCATCACCTGGGTGATCAGTGCAGAGTTATGCCACAATGCCCTCTGTAGGCAGAGCCTAGACAAGAGTTACATCATCTGCTTGATCAGTAAAGAGATATTTCACAATGCCCCTGCAGGCAGAGCGTAAGCAAGAGTTACATCACCTAGATGATCAGTGCAGAGATACGTCACAAGGCCCCCTATAGGCAGAGCCTGGACAAGAGTTACATCACCTCGGTGATCAATGCAGCGATATGTCACTATGCCCCGTAGGCAGAGCCTAGTCAAGCGTTACATCACCTGGGTGATCAGTGCAGAGATATGTCAGAAAGCCCCCATACACAGAGCCTAGACAAGAGTCCCATCACCTGGGTGATCAGTGCAGAAATATGTCACAATGCCCCTATAGGCAGATCCAACACAAGTGTTACATCACCTGGGTGATCAGTGCAGAAATATGTCACAATGCCCCCATAGGCAGATCCAACACAAGAGTTACATCACCTGGGTGATCAGTGTAGAGATATGTCACAATGCCCCCGTAGACAGAGCCTAGACAAAAGTCCCATCACCTGGGTGATCTGTGCAGAGATATGTCACAAAGCCCCTGTAGGCAGAGCCTAGACAAGAGTTACATCACTTTGTTGATCAGTTCAGAGATGTGTCACAATGCCCATGTAGGCAGAGCCTAGACAAATGTTCCATCGCCTGGGTGATCAGTGCAGAGATATGTGACAAGGCCCCTTTAAGCAGAGCCTAGACAATAGTTACATCACCTGAGTGATCAATGCAGTGATATGCCACTACGCCCCAGTAGGCAGAGCCTAGTCAAGCGTTACATCACCTGAGTGATCAGTGCAGAGATATGTCACAAAGCCCCCATACACAGAGCCTAGACAACAGTCCCATCCCCTGGGTGATCAGTGCAGAAATATGTCGCAATGCCCCCATAGGCAGATCCAACACAAGAGTTACATCACCTGGGTGATCAGTGTAGAGATATGTCACAATGCCCCCATAGGCAGAGCGTAGACAAAAGTCCCATCACCAAGGTGATCAGTGCAGAGATATGTCACAAAGCCCCCATAGGCAGAGCCTAGACAAGAGTTACATCACTTGGTTGATCAGTTCAGAGATGTGTCACAATGCCCATGTAGGCAGAGCCTACACCAGTGTTACATCACTTAGGTGATCAGTGCAGAGCTATGTCACAATACCCCCGTAAGCAGAGCCTAGACAAGAGTTACATCACCTGGTTGATCAGTGCAGAGATATCTCACAATGTCCCTGCAGGCAGAGTATAGACAAGAGTTACATCACCTAGATGATCAGTGCAGAGATATTTCACAATGCCCCCTGTAGGCAGAGCCTAGATAAGAATTATATTACCTGGATGATCAGTACGGTGATATGTCACTATGTCCCCTGTGGGCGGAGCCTAGACAAGAGTTACATCACCTGGGTCATAAGGGCAGAGATATGTCACAATGCTCCAGTAGGCAGAGCCTAGACAAGAGTCCTATCACCTGGGTGATCAGTGCAGAAATATGTCACAATGCTCCCAGTAGACAGAGCCTAGACAAGAGTTACATCACCTGGGTGATCAGTGCAGAAATATGTTGCAATGCCCCCATAGGCAGATCCAACACAAGAGTTACATCACCTGGGTGATCAGTGCAGAGATATGTAACAATGCCCCCAGTAGGCAGAGCCTAGAGGAGAGTTACATCATCTGGGTGATCTTTGCAGAGATATGTCACAATCCCCCAAGTAAGCAGAGCCTAGACAAAAGTTACATCATCTGGGCGATCAGTGCAGAGAGAAGTCACAAAACCCACATAGGAAAAGACTAGACAAGAGTTACATCATCTGGGTCATCAGTGCAGACATATGTCAAAGCTGCCGTAGACAGAGTGTAGACAATTATTACATCACTTGGGTGATCAGTGCAGAGATCTATCACAGTGCCCCCATAGGCAGAGCCTAGACAAGAGTTCCATCACCTGTGTGATCAGTGTAGAGATATGTCACAATGCCTCCTGTAGGCAGAGGCTAAACAAGAGTTACATCACCTGGATTTTGTTTCCTGCAATATGTCACAATGGCGAGGGTGAGGGTTAGGGTGAGGGTGAGGGTTAGGGTGAGGGTCAGGGTGAGGGTGAGGGTTAGGGTTAGGGTGAGCATTAGGTTTAGGGTTAGGGTTAGGGTTAGGGGTTAGGCTTAGGCTTAGGGTTAGGCTTAGGCTTAGGGTAAGGCTTAGGGTTCAGGTTCAAGTTTGGATTCGGGTTCAGGTTAAGAGTTAGGGTTAGGGTTACTGGTTAGGGTTAGGGGTTAGGGTTAGGGGTTAGGGCTGGGTTAGGTTTAGGGTTAGGGTTAGGGTTATGGGTTACAGTTAGGGTTAGGGTTAGGTTTTAGGGTTAAGGTTAGGGTTAGGATTGGGGTTAGGTTTAGGGTTAGGGTAGTGTAAATAATTTCACATTATTACTAATAATAAATTATTATTTATATTACACTATTACTTAATATATAGGCTATTAAGACATGTTTGTCTTCAAAGAATGGCCTTGGTTTCTGTGGACAGTTTCTCCTCATGGAAAGGTAGTGTGTTCCTGCTAAATCATGGACAAAACGGGTCCCCAGGAGCTACAGGCTGCAGAAGCAGCTTCTCCTCTATGTTCTTCACTGCCTCATACTGTTGTTGACCTTGAAACCTTCTTTTGGTCTAGTTTTATCAACAGAGCTAGTATTTACATGAGGTTCTACTACATACCAGGTTCCAGAAAGCTAAATGCTTTTTGTTTGTTTTTATTCACTAAATACAAATCACAACTCTCTTCTCATTACACACACAACAAAATTTAGCTGAGGGAGATTGAGTGACTTTCCCAGGGTCACACAGCTACTAATAGCAGAGTAGTGTTTAGATTCATATGGGAATACTGAACACAGAAATGAACCAATGGAAACATCCTACGTTCCAAAAGCCTACTCAAGCCATTTGTTCTTATTTTAAGGAAAATATGCTAATTTTAAACTCCAAATACTTATGAATGGCAGAGATCTACAGATTTGATTCTGATGTAAGAAATGATGCTCACCAGCTGGTTACTGCTACCACCCCACAACCCGCAGCATACTGGACAAATGTCTAAGCCTCGTGGTTAGTGGGGACATTGCTGGTGGAGTCTGAAATTGTCATGCAGTGACTCACTCAAGCTTAGGCAGATTTGGTGATATATGACACAGAGATGCAAAGAAATGTTGTAGCTGACACACACAGGCTGGCTCTGGGAGATGCAGAAGGAGCACGTCCCCCAAAATGAAGCCAGACAGACATCCTTAAGGAAGGAGCAAAGGGGCTTCATCTTAAAGAATGAAGAAGGGATTTGTCATGAGAGATGTGGCAGGAATTTCTTGAGAGGCAGAGGGAGAGCATGAGAATGTTAGGAAGGCAGGAGAGACTCTCACACATCTGGGAAGCTGACAATCCATCAGCATGTCCAGGAGGAAAATAAGGAGGAGGAGCAGAAATAGATGAGGCTGGATATAGAAGCAGGGCTGAAGCTGTGTTGTTTGTGGTAAAGAGTTGTGATTCTATCCAGAAGGCAATAGGTAGCATTCTAAACAGAGATCCTTTTTTTTTTTTGAGATGGAGTCTTGCTCTGTTGCCCGGGCTGGAATGCAGTGACACGATCCCGGGTCACTGCAAGCTCCTCCTCCCAGGTTCACACCATTCTCCTGCCTCAGCCTCTGGAGTAGCTGGGACTACAGTCGCCCGCCACCACACCCGGCTAATTTTTTTGTATTTTTAGTAGAGACGAGGTTTCACTGGGTTAGCCAGGATGGTCTTGATCTCCTGGCCTCGTGATCCGCTAGCCTCGGCGTCCCAAAGTGCTGGGATTACAGACGTGAGCCACCACGCCTGGCCACAGAGATCTTTTAAAACAAGAGTCAGCAAATATTTTCTGCAAAGGGCTAAATGTTAAATATTTTAAATTTTCCAAGCCATATGGTCTCTCTCTCAATGACTCAGCTCTTCCATTATACCATGAAAGTAGCCAGAGACGTTATATAACACATGTATGTGGCTGTGTCCCATTACAACTTTACTTACAAACGCAGACTGTGTCAGACATAGTCCATGTATGGTAGTTTGCCACACCTTGTTTTAGAAAGCTCAGGTTTATGATGTGATGGAGAATTCCTACAAGAGTTCTTGTTTTAAATGGTAGAGTGAACATACACTGGAATTCTATACTGCTTGACCCAAGCTTTTGATAGCAAAAGGTAGAAAAGACAGATAGTAAACAGATAGATAGATGATAGGAAGGTAGATAGATAGATGATAGATAAAGAAAGTACATAGCTGTTCCAGAAAACAGAAACTGAAAATTTCATGAACCAAAAGCAGAGTAATATACTTTAGAAAGGAAGCAGGCTGGAAAACCCACAGTTGCAAAGCAAATGGAATTTCCAACTGCCTCTTGTAGCCCCTTCCTTGAAGTAGTCATAGCTCAGGGTGTTTGACTTCTTCCTCTGTTTTTTGTTTGTTTGTTGTTTGCTTTTCTGTGGGGTTTTTGTTGTTGTTGTTTGCTTTTTTTAAAAAAAATTCCCTTTCACTGCTTTTTTGTCACAGCAGCCTTTGTCGCTTCAAACACCGCAAGTGTTCTTTTAAAAGAATTATATCAACCTTTCAAGTGAAATGCAACATGTCTGAAACGTGGTATCTGGAGAGGTGAGATGGACAAAGGAGCCCTTGTTACTGCACGTTTTCATTCTCCAAACTTCACCTTGCACACAGTAACAGACAATGCACAAATCCACTTCCTTATGGACGGAAATTCTGAAATCCTTTTATGCCTGGCCTTTCCATCCTTCAACTTCCCCTTTCCCATGCTGTGAATGATTGTATTGGACATTTTTGTTTTAATCTCAGTGACAGGGGAACACAGGTAGCTCTAATATAGCTGTGACTGAGATGCTTCTGTTTCTAGCGTGTATTTATTTTGCAGCAAACATTTACATCCATGATTTTTCACTGTCTTTTGAAAATAATTAAGCAATATCTCATCTGAGGTAGAATGTTTCTAGTGGTTGTGTTCTGAGGGAGAAAAACTAATCTTTTCTCTTTCCACTGCATTCTAGGAACAGTAAGAGGACCTTGTGAGTGAATAATTTGTTTCCACATTACAGAGTGGGTAATAAGCAGATTAGTAAAAACAATTCTGCTTCACTTCAATAACAGCCTCCTCCAACTCATTTTTTCTCAACAAACTTATTTTTCCAGCAGAAGAATCCCAGACTTCTTAGAGAACCCAGTGACTTTTTGCACCTTAAATCTGTGAAATCCTCATGTTTTCTTCTGCTGTATCTATAGTTCAAACAAAGATGAGGCAAAACTAGACGCATTCCTGAAGGAACCCAAGAAATTCCTCTTTCTGTCTCGGAATGAAATGAATTCTCCAGACCACTAGTTCTAACCTTCAAAAACCAAACCTGTTTGTGAGATCTCCTTCAAATACTACTGTAGACCCTAGTATTTATTCATTAAATTTTTAAAATATTTGTTTTATTTGGAATCAAAGTATTTGTAATTTTAGTATTTGTATTAATATAAGGGAGAAATGTTTAAATCTGCCTATGCCATATGTGCCTCTGGCTTATTGCCCAATTAATTGTAGTCTCAGGCTAAACTTTCGTTTCTGTCTTCAATTTTTGTCAGAAGAAATATAACTGATCTCAAAACATCTGCTTTTATGTAGGGACTTGTGCTGCCATCTCCATTCCTCTCTCTCTTTTTGCAATCTGGGTGGAAGTTCTTTAATATGAACATTTCAACCAGCTTCATTCTACCACATCCACTATGAGCACATTCAAACGTATCCAGCCAAGACTGTCATCTTAGGCCAGGGATCTTTTAGGAATCTATTTTGCTGTGATGTGGCTGGCACCCCTTTGATTCACTGTATCACCCCAGGGTTCTTTTCATTTTATAAGCCCAAGAGGGCAGAAAATGAAGTAGATGAGCAATTAAACACTGTGAGTCAGGAGCGTCTCCCCTTGTGTTAGGCAATGTTGTAGAACATCGTATTTAGTAAGCTCCTAGCAGATGAGCCATGTGGCTTCTGAGCACACATGCTTGCTTGCTGCTGTGAGGTCAGACACCATCATGTCTTTTCCATCTCTGGAGGGAATTGTAAGGGCCACTTAATAACCTGTAAATCAGAGAGATAAAGGTGCTTCCCCAAAACACTGATGACAGAATGAAAGGTGAGGAGTGTTAGCCACAGGTCAAAAGTACAGGAAAGTCTCTCAGTGTGGGTTGTTGAAGAAATGCAGGTCTTTTTTCTTTTGGAAGTCTCCCTAGAATGGGGTCAAGGACTCTGCCCATTCTAGGATGAAAAATTGGGATATTAGACACCTTCAGATATTTATCCCCAGCTTTCATTTTGGGCTCTTAATTAGTTTGTTCATCCATCACAATCTCAAATGCTAAGCAGGGCATTTGAATCTCTCCACAGTGCAAATCAGCGCCGTCTTTTAAAGTTGAGTTTATTCTTATTCTCACCTGATATACCTTATTTATCCCACACCCACCCCAATAACATATCGTGCTCACTGTTATCTTTGAGGCAACCCTTGAATTTTACTCAGCCTGGAGCGCTCTTCACATGTCTTGTCCAGAGCCAGTTCGGACTCATTCTTCAGCCGTGCATCAGTCAGTGGGGGCTAGCTTAAACTGTGGTGACAAACAACCTCCAAATTTCAGTGGCTCAAAAATCTTCTTCCTCATTTATTTACATCTCATGACTGGTCAGGTGAGAGGTAGCTCTGTGCTGTGTCATCCTAACACAGGAATCCAGAAGGAAGGAGGGACTGTCAATAAGATCCCCATTGCTATAGAAAAGAGAAAAAAGCATGTGGAATAGAACGCTGTTTCTTGGAGATTTCTCCTGAAAAAGTCACATGTTATTTCTTCTCACCTCCATTGGCAAAAAAAAAAAAAAAAAAAAAAAAAAAAAAGTCATGTGGCCATGGGAAAATTTAAGTAGGTGGGATGGAACAGTCAGAATGCATTCATAAAAAATGAACTGAAAATATTTGGAGAACAACACCAATGACTATCATGAATGCCAACATACATCCCTAACAACCCAGTGCTGTTACCCTCCAAACTTTTTATGTCTTGCAAAGTATTAGAACTTCATATCTGAAGCCATACCACTCAGAGGGAATGCAATACATATTGACATCTCCTTTAGGATGTCCATAGAGAATTCAAGAAAAGAAATAATTTAAAAGTGCTTTTGGGTACAGCTATTTAGCACTAGAGGGTAAGAGTAGAGATAGATTGTAAAGATAATAATAGGGTTAGGCATAGGATTAGGATCTGGGTCAGAGTCAGGGCCGGAAGTATGGTTAGAGGTGGGGTCATGGTCAGGGTCAAGATCAAAGTCAGGGTTAAAGTAAGGGTCAGAATTAAGGACCAGGGTAGGGATCAGGATTTAGGTTCAGGCTCAAAGTCTTGGGACAGGGTTAGGGTTAGGATTAGAACCAGAGCTTTGTTCTCAGGACCCACCCGAGGATGGGTCACCATGGCTTTGGAGCACCTGGTAGTGTGGCATGTCCACAGTGAAGACCAGAGTTTCGTTGTCCTTAAGACTGACCTGGGAGACGTGGCTGCAGGCCATTGAGGAAGGTGAGGCAAAAGCTTCCTGTCTGCTCCCCGTGTGCTGAGGAGGGAGCTCTGCCATGGGCTTTACTTTCACACGTTATATTCTACAAGTCTTGTTTTACAAAAGCATCCCTTCCTTGAGGCTTCGGCTGCTCATCACTGCTCATCATCATAGCGTGCCATAACATATAGTAAGGTTTGGGTTTGTTTCTGGGAGAGATCTTGGCATAGAGAAAGGAGAAATGCTTAGAGCCACCATCAAGACAGTTGGGATGAAAGCTGGGGATAGGCAGAGGCTGGAGGAAACATGTGCACCCCTTGTAAACACTTATTCATGTTTTAGTTATTCACTTAAAGTGTTAAATTAGTAAAAATAGTATTGAAAAATTGAAAAGTAGGCATATTAAAACTTGTAACAATATTTAAGCTTAGATATATTATTTGTACCTCATCAACATTTTTTATTTTGTTGAGAAAGTGTAAGGTTAATTGGCAGCATATTTCTAATAGTAGATAGAATAATGTCTGTTTTATAAACATTGACATCCTACATTACATGTGTGAACCCTGAAAATCTGAGACAGCTCTCAGATTTTTTAGAAAGTTTATTTTGCCAATCTTGAGGATGTGCACCCGTGATGCCTCCCCAGGAGGTCCTGACAACATGGGCCCAAGGTGGTAGGGGCACAGCTTGGTTTTATACACTTTAGGGAGACATGAGACATCAATCAATACGTGTAAGATGTACATTGGTTCAGTCCAGAAAGGTGAGAAGGCCAGACAGGGGGCTTCCAGGTCATAGGTAGGTAAGAGACAAATGGTTTCATTCTTTTGCATTGCTGATTACCCTCTCCAAATGAGGCAATCAGGTATGCATTTATCTCGGTGAGCAGATGGGTGACTTTGGATACAATGGGAGGCGGGTTTGCCCTAAGCAGTTCCCAGCTTGACTTTTCCCTTTAGCTTAGTGATTTTGGGTCCCCAAGATTTATTTTCCCTTCATAAGGTTTTCCTATGAGCATTAATTATTCATTGTGTATTTTATCACACAAATAAGGCACAGATTTTTAAAAAATCATCAACTTCCTGGCTACCTATATAGACATAATTACATAGAAGCTCAACTAAATTTGCAAACATTCCAGAGTTTGGGTTTCCAATAATTCTTTGTGATTCTTTAAAAGGTAAAGTATTTTTTCCCATAAAACATAGCAACATTTAAAATCACCCGTAGAATGTCCTGCCATTTTTGTTTCTGTAGTTTCCTCATTTTCTGCAAAGCCTTGCTGAGGAAATTGACTTTGAATATCCTTTTACACTCTTCTGTTTTAGAAAGCATTGTGGTAAAACATTGAATCATCATGGTCATAAGTTCTGTTCACATTCTTTCTTGCTTTGAATATTTTTTCCCAGTGGCCAATATTTGATTCTGTTTTATCATGGCTAAAAGGTAGGCATGGCAACAAAATAAAGACAGGAAGTCTTTGGAATAAGTGATCCCATCACAATGAATCAATTTGCCATTGGAACATATTTTTACAAAGTCACTCTTTTGAAAATATTTAGCTATGAATTAAAACAAAGTCTGTATGGTTAATATTTTTCCTGGTCTAAGGTGAACAGCATTTTAGAGAATGAACTCAGGACACAACCACTGCACAAGAAAAACGTGATAATTAAGTTTACACATATGTGTTACTACTGCAACAGAAAACATGTAAAGAACATTTGATTTATGTATCAGTCTGCACTGTTTAATTTTTTGTGTCATAAATACTCTTATTTAAAAAAACAGGACTAGTTAACAGTGTCAATTACTAGTAATTCATGGTATAAATAATTAAACAAGGAAGTGTTCAAAAAAAACAGTGTTTTAAATAAAGTTTTATTTTACATCATCTTTTTTACTTACACAGAAATTGTCAAAAAAAAGCAGAGATTTCCCATGTAGCCGCAACCTAGTTTCCTCTCTTATTAACATCTTCTATCAGTGTGTCTCACATGGCTTATTAATATCTTACATAATTTGTCACAGTTAATGAACCAATACTGATAGACTATTATTAACCGAAGTTCATATTTCATTTGGATTCCCTTAGTTCTATCTTACTCTGACCCAGGATCCCATCCAGGATCCCGCATGACATGTAGACATCACGTGGGCTCTTCCTGGCTGTGACAGTGTGTCAGGCTTTCCATCTCATGATGACCTTCATAGCACTGAGGAGGATTGGTCAGGAATGTTGTAGAATGTCCCCCATTGTCACTTCATGTTCTCAAGTTGAACTGTCACCTTTGATGTTCACTTGGATCATTTGGCAGAGTTAATGTTTGTCAGGTTTCTCCACTGTGAGGCTATTTCTCCTCCTTGTCCGTACTGCATGTGTTCTTTTGGAGCAAGTCACTATGCAGAGCCTCACTCCGTAAGGAGTTGGCTCCACCTTCTTGACGGCTGAGTGTCTACATCAATTATTTGGAATTCTTTTGCAAAGGAGATTTCTATGCAACTCCATTTGCTTATTCACCGAGGTATACAAATACAGACACCTAGATAATTACTTTAAGCTTTAGTTATTATTCAACTCTACAGTATTATGTTGCACAATTCATTCCTGTGTTGGCCATCAGTAGCTGTTTTTATTGGCTTTTATTTTTCTTTGATATGTTTTAATTTTTTTAGTACTTACTTTCTGATACTTCCAGATTATCCTGGTTCCTATATTTACTGTCCCAGTTCTAGTATCAGACATTTCTTCAAAGAGCCTGATTCCTTTCAGAATGGTAGGAAAACTTACATCTGGCTGCTGAATGAGCACATTGTATCTTCTCCCTCATTGGCAATGCTAGGAAGTATATGTGTGTGTCTAACCTACCTATACACACCTAATTATAAAGTTTTCTATGTAGAACTGTGTGTGTCTATATTAAACTAAACATAAGTTTACGTTGATGTCTCCACCTCTGATCTACTATCACATGAATCATTCTAGCCTTCTCGCCTTGCTAATTTGTAACCTCCCACTTCAACAGTAAGAAACCGGGTTCCCACCATCTGCGACTTATGTAAGTCATTGTTTTATTCCAGATACAGACACTGTGGTTTTACAATTGTTCACAATTGCTTCTTTTGGAAAGAACTTTATAAAATGGAATCCAATAATGAAGTATAGTTCATGTGCCTTCAGCCTACAGATTCTATTCATTTTCAAAGTTTTTACCTAGATTTGTGTCTTAGTCCATTTTGTGCTTCTGTAACAGAATACCTGAGGCTGCGCAATTTATAAGTAAAAAAGTTTCATTTGGTTCACAATACTGGTGGCTGGAATGTCTGAGATTGGGCAGTTGCATCTGGCAG
The DNA here is from genome assembly GCF_000001405.40 of Homo sapiens. Lineage (NCBI taxonomy): Eukaryota > Metazoa > Chordata > Mammalia > Primates > Hominidae > Homo > Homo sapiens. The sequence goes on from NW_015495300.1 coordinate 217,611, forward strand.
GGCCTCAGTCTTTTTCACCTCATGGTGGAAAGTGGAAGGGGAGCAAGGGGTGCACCAGAGATCACATAGCAGAAGTGAAAGCAAGAGGGAAGCCAAGGAAGCCAGACTCTTTTTAATTACTTACTCCTGCAGGAATTATCTATTCCTGTGAGAACAGAACTCACTCACCCCCATGGAGGACATTAATCTATTCATGAGGGATCCGTCCCCATGATCCAAACACCGTCCACTAGGCCCCACCGCCCCACACTGACCCAGTGGGAGTCAAATTTCAACATGAGTTTTTGTGGGGACAAACCACATCCAAACCATAGTAATTTGTAGCATAAATTCTTTTTCACATGATGTATTCTGTCCTGGGATACTCCACATCCTGAGTAATTTGATTTAATTTGAATAGAGTTTGCTTTAACCATTTGGCTGTAAAATTCTGCATATTTCGACAAATGCATTGTGGCAGATAACCCACTATTAAAGTATCAAATGGAATGCCTCAAACCCCCACCCCATGGAGCCAATGGCTTCCCATCTGTGTAGTTTGCCTTCTCCAGTGTCTCATTAAATGAGGTCACACTGTGTGTATCCTCCTCAGACTGTCTTCTTCCACTTAGCAATGTGCATGCAAGATTCACTCATGTCTTTGTGTGTGTTGATATCTTGTTCCTTTCTATGGCTAAATAGTATTCCATTACATGAATGTAGCACAATTTGGTTATGCATTTTGGGGAGCAGAACCTTCCTCTTCTAACTTTGTTCCAGGGTTGGAGACCTTCAAATTAACTGACAATAGATACATTAGTAGGAGAGACAATACTTGGCTTCTTGTTCCCCAAGTATCATTGTGGGACAAAATTCATCAGATGGCAGGATCCAGTTTACAAAGAGGTAAAAATAGCCCAGAAACAAGAAACAAGACTAGAATCTGATAACTCACAATGGCTATAGTTTTCCTTTAAAAAAATTTTTTTTGAGACAGGGTCTGGCTCTGTCACCCAGGCTGGAGTGCAAAGGTGCAATCTCAGCTCACTGCAACCTCTACCTCCTGGGTGCAAACGATCCTCCCTCCTCAGCCTCCTGATTACCTGGGACTACAGGCACATGCCGTCATGCCCATCTAATTTTTGTATTTTTGGTAGAGACGGGGTTTCACCATGTCGCCCAGGCTGATGTTGAACTCCTGGCCTTCCAAAGGGCTGTAATTATAGGCATGTGCCACCATGCCCGGCTGTGTTATACTTTTCCTTTGAAAGATAAAATTTCTCTCTGTAGTAACCATCATTTTTTATCATAATCAAAGTAAGACTATTCTTGTTTTAAAAATAAGTCTAGTTTTGTTAGATTTTGCTTGATTATTTACGTAAGTGCAGCAAGAACAGGAGATGACCACGTAGGTGCTTTCAGGTTTCTTTGCTGGAAGTTTTCATACAGAATCTCAGACTTGACTTTTAAAGGCCTTATTCAGGCTAAAAGCCAAGCCAAGAGCATACTATCAAATTTCAGCTGCAGTCCTTATAGCTTTGTGTGAATTCCTCTCTTCTTGAGGCCCCAAAATATCCCTAAATTCCTGGGCCTACCAGGAAATGACCTTCCTTACTAACCTATAAGGCTGTGAACCCTGTAATCTAGGTATCAGGCTGGGTTTTCTCAGAGTGCTGTTGGGAATGAAGTTTTTTATGTTCCCCCCCCGAAAAAAAAGAACTAACATGGGAACAAATGATCTCTTAGCAAGGCGAGCTTTATTTTTCTGCACAAAGGGTGCTACTCAATAGCTGTCCAGCTACAAGAGCACACCAAACAAAGGAGACAGAGTTACTTATAACCTGACGTGTCTACCCTACTGCTGTGTCCAGTTTCCATTGGCTGGAATAGGACCTCCCATTTTACACTTTACCCGATTGGCTGTTAGTTTAAAACTTTCTTAATTAGGTAAGGGGAATAGAAGAAGGAAAGAAAAGGAAGTTGCCCAGGGATAGTTAAGGAAGCATCTCCAAATAAGGAATGACATGCACTATGGGCTGGGGCTTGTCTAGTTCTGTCCAGGCATGCTGGAGCAAGCTAGGACAAGTGATTTGGAACACACACACACACACACATATAAAAATAGTGGGTAGTTGTGACTTTATAATCTTTAAGGAAGAACTTTCCTCAAAGTTTTCCACAGTGCTTTGTAAGCATTGTCTCCATAAAAGTCAACCTTACTTCCTTAAAATTGCTGGTCATAACTGATCTTAGGTACACTTCCTAAATATGATATTCCAGTAAAAACCTTGATAATATAACCAAAATTTCCAATTATGTCCTGTTATAAGGTGAATAGATTCTTACTGGACTTTTGCTAACAACAATATCATCGTGGAAATAAGAGTATTCAGTAAGGATTTCAAAATTCTGGAAAAATCAGCCAAGAAAAAAAGATAAACGCTTCATTTCTGTTTACAAAAGTATAATCTACTAAATTGTTGTAAGTTACAGTTAGAGTAAGAGAAAGAGATTTCTTAAATCCAGAAACTAGAATATTAACCAGCAATGCTCCAAAAAGCTATACAATTATAATCAATTTTCATCAGTTCATTCAGTGCCATGTAATCAATTCCAGTCTTGTGGATCTTGAGTTAGCAGTGTCATGAACCCATCAGTTTCCCAACCAGACTTCTGGAGACCTTAACTGAGTCAAGTGTATGGTCTTAAAGTTATTTAAGCAATATCATCAGAAGCCTATAACCAGAGTACCTGTCATAGTCTTTTCTGTGAGTCTCAGAGGGAGTCCTGTCTTGGAGACGAACATTCTGACCTGTAGTTGATTGCAGGAGCTTTCAGGAAAGCATCAGGGGGAAATAATATCTAAATGACAAAAAGTATGAAATGGCTGTGATGAAAGATCTGATGAGAGTTCATTATACCACAACTGACAAGGATATTCTATTTTTTCTGTGGCAGACAACATTTATTTATTTATTTATTCAGAGACAGAGTCTTGCTCTGTCGCCCAGGCTGGAGTGCAGCGGTGCGATCTCGGCTCACTGCAAGCTCTGTCTCCTGGGTTCACGCCATTCTCCTGCCTCAGCCTCCCGAGTAGCTGGGACTACAGGTGCCTGCCATCACGCCCAGCTAATTTTTTATATTTTTAATAGAGATGGAGATTCACCGGGTTAGCCAGGATGGTCTGGATCTCCTGACCTTGTGATCCACCCGCCTCAGCCTCCTAAAGTGCTGGGATTATAGGCATGAGCCACTGTGCCTGGCACAACATTTAAAGTAATAATTGGAATTATGACTCATTACTCTATAGTGGCACATAGCATGGATAAGGAGGACATTGACAAACTTCCAGGAATTTTATATAATTTCTGAAAATATAACATTTTACCCATACAAATATAACACAGGGAAGGTTAGGTATCTCTTTTTATTTGTATCTTCTGTATGGTTTTCCTTATGAAAAATGCAACCTACTTTACTTGCGAAACATGCCCTACTTTTCTTGCATGCTTTGCATAGAGTTGTTTCTAGTTATTCTATTATTTCTAGTAGTTTTATTTACATATATTGATTATAATTTTAATACTTAGTAATCTTTTATTTTCCAGAGAAAACTAGGAAGTAGACAGTTATAAACTGTCATATATTAGCATTCTATAGTAGGTTAGAAAATGTATGAATATACCATCTCCCAACATCTAGAGGGATGTGTTTCCTCATAATACAATTCCTCAGTGTGGCAGAAAAAAACATGTTTATTAACGGGCCAAAATATCTTTAGTCTCTCTGTAAAAACAGGAAGCCAAAAGTATATAAACTTGAATTATTTATGTTCAGTAATTAATGTTTTAGTATTGTATCTTATTTATAAATGGTCTAGATATTTAATGCAGATCTTTTACTTAGCTTAACTTTAAGGTTAAAAATTACCAAAAGTACTTTGGAAACTATTCTTAGGCAGATTTACTGTAAACAAATTATTTTTGAAATAATGTTTTTCGCTTTTCACAAGACGGCACCGAAAGCGAAGGAAGCTCCTGCTCCTCCTAAAGCCGAAGCCAAAGTGAAGGTTTTAAAGGCCAAGAAGGCAGTGTTGAAAGGTGTCCGCAGCCACACGCAAAAAAGAAGATCCGCATGTCACCCACCTTCAGGCGGCCCAAGACACTGCGACTCCGGAGGCAGCCCAGATATCCTCGGAAGAGCACCCCCAGGAGAAACAAGCTTGGCCACTATGCTATCATCAAGTTTCCGCTGACCACTGAGTCGGCCGGAAGAAGATAGAAGAAAACAACACGCTTGTGTTCACTGTGGATGTTAAAGCCAACAAGCACCAGATCAGACAGGCTGTGAAGAAGCTCTATGACAGTGATGTGGCCAAGGTCACCACCCTGATTTGTCCTGATAAAGAGAACAAGGCATATGTTCGACTTGCTCCTGATTATGATGCTTTCGATGTTGTAACAAAATTGGGATCATCTAAACTGAGTCCAGCTGGCTAACTCTAAATATATGTGTATTTTTTCAGCATAAAAAAATAATGTTTTTCATAAGAATGACAACTTAATTAGAATCAAATCTATAAGCTTTAAGATTTTACATTTCTAGTAAGTATAATATTAGCTTATTTGACTAGAACTCAAGCAGAATAGGAATTTATGCTTGTTTTATATTCAATAATGATAATTTTGAAGATATAGTTGTTTTATTACACCAAAAATACTATATTAATCTTATTTAACTAAGTTTTATCCAAATCATGTTAACTTAAGAAACATTTGATCAGTTCCTATATTTCTAGGAGTTTGGTGAATATTTATTTATAAATGCTTATTTTTTTCCAAGCCAAGTTAGAATAGAGCACTTTTAGAGGATTTCATAAATGAATTTTGCAATGATCTCTGGAGTTAAGAAAATATCACATATACATAACATACATTAATAGATATACAAACACAAATAGAGATTTCATAGCTTTCATCCTGAAATTTCAGCCATGAATCAGGCATAAATATTCTGATGGTTAATTTCAGATATCTACTTGATCCGATTGAGAGACACACATAGCTGGTCAAACACGATTTCAGCCATGAATCAGGCATAAATATTCTGATGGTTAATTGTAGACATCTACTTGACTGGATTAAGAGACACACATAGCTGGTCAAACAAGATTTCAGCCATGAATCAGGCATAAATATTCTGATGGTTAATTGTAGACATCTACTTGACTGGATTAAGAGACACACATAGCTGGTCTAACACGATTTCAGCCATGAATCAGGCATAAATATTCTGATGGTTAACTTTAGGCATCTACTTGATTGGATTGAGAGACACACATAGCTGGTCAAACACGATTTCAGCCATGAAGCAGGCATAAATATTCTGATGGTTAATTGTAGACATCTACTTGACTGGATTAAGAGACACACATAGCTGGTCAAACACGATTTCAGCCATGAAGCAGGCATAAATATTCTGATGGTTAATTGTAGACATCTACTTGACTGGATTAAGAGACACACATAGCTGGTCAAACACAATTTCAGCCATGAATCAGGCGTAAATATTCTGATGGTTAATTGTAGACATCTACTTGAGTGGATTGAGAGACACACATAGCTGGTCAAACACGATTTCAGCCATGAATCAGGCATAAATATTCTGATGGTTAATTTTAGACATGTACTTGACTGGATTAAGAGACACACATAGCTGGTCAAACACGATTTCAGCCATGAAGCAGGCATAAATATTCTGATGGTTAATTGTAGACATCTACTTGACTGGATTAAGAGACACACATAGCTGGTCAAACACGATTTCAGCCATGAATCAGGCATAAATATTCTGATGGTTAACTTTAGGCATCTACTTGATTGGATTGAGAGACACACATAGCTGATCAAACACAATTTCAGCCATGAATCAGGCATAAATATTCTGACGGTTAATTTTAGACATCTACTTGACTGGATTAAGGGACACACACAGCTGGTCAAACAATTTCAGCCATGAATCAGGCATAAATATTCTGACAGTTAATTTTAGACATCTATTTGAGTGGATTAAGAGACACACATAGCTGGTCAAACACGATTTCTGGGCATATCTATGAGGGTGTTTCTGGAAGACACTGAGATAACCATGACCCAATGTGGATGGGCACTGATATGGTTTGGCTGTGTCCCCACCCAGATCTCATCTTGAATTGTAGTTCCTGTAATACCTACATGTCGTGGGAGGGACCCAGTGGGAGGTGACTGAATCATGGTGGTGGTTACCGCCATGCTGTTCTCATGACAGTGAGTGAGTTCTCATGATCTGATGGTTTTATAAGGGGCTTTTCCCCTTTGGCTCAGCACTTCTTGTTGCTGCCATGTGAAGAGGGATAGCTTTGCTTCCCCTTCTGCCATGATTGTGAGGCCCCTGCAGCCATGTGGAACTGTCAGCCCATTAAACCCCTTTGTTCTTTATAAATTGCTCAGACTCAGGTATTTCTTCATAGCTGTATAAAAATGGATGAATACAGGCACCATCCAATTGGTTGAGAGCCCAGATAGAATAACAAGGAAGAGGAAAGGTGAATTATCTCCTTCTGAAATGGAAACATCCTTCTTCTCCTGCCCTTGACATCAGAACTTCAGGGTCTCAGACCTTTGGCCTCACAATCAGAGTTACACCATTGGCTTCCCTGATTCTGAGTCCTTTGTATCTGGAGTGAGCCATGCTACCAGCTTTCCTGGTTCTCCAACTTGGAGACAGGCTATTGTGGAACTTCTCAGCCTCCATAATTATGTGAACCAGTTCCCCTAATGAATCTTCTCTCATCTATCTACATATATCCTATTGATTCTGCCTTTATGGAGACCCCTGCCTAATGTGATTACAATAACTACAAAATTCACCACTTTATATAGAAGACTTGGTTTTTGTCTTTGCCCCATTTTATATTTGTATTATAACTATGTGTCTGGAAAATGGAACAAGTTTTTTCTTCTTCATATGAGGGCTAAGGCTTTTTTCTCACCAATATTTTTGGAGATTTTAAAGATTTTCTTTTTTTTTTGACATAGAATCTTATGGAGGCTGAGAAATAATTTTTTTTCTATTTTATTCTTCAGCCCCAGGTGTTTGCTTTTGCAGATTCTTGAGCACATTGAGAGCCTCCAAGGCATGGAGTGGGGTGCCTGAAGTTTCAGTGATTATAGGGAGTTGAGAGACTCAACTGGGAAAGGAAAGGTCTAAAAGGAGGCAATTTGGAAAATAAAAATTTTCTCAAAGGAGCCATTAAAGTTGTAAATAATTCTTAGTAAAGTCATGCAAACAGGAAAAGAAGTAGAATTAGTTCCATATTGGTGGAACACATAGTCAGCAGAGGTTGGAGAAGGGAGAATTTAGTGAACTGAGAAGTTCCCATGAAAGCAGCAAGATCAAGATCACAGAGACACCTTGAAACAAAAAGCCAGGAATAACTTCCAACCCAAGAGGAGAACAGAGAGGCCTCAAAACCAAAGCTAGGATAAGAAACTTGTAGCCCAAGAGTTATCTTCCAGACAAAGAAGCCTGAGATTCCAACGCAGCTTCAGAGAGTACTCACTCAAAATGTTACTGAAACTGTAGGCTTTTTAATGACTTAGCCATGCCTGCAAAAGGCATTCCCTAAGGTGGCACAGAAGACGGAGCCCCCATATCCAAAGATAGCCAAGGAGAAAGAAAGACCCCTGTTGCCAGAGCCAGTGGGAAAAGGTAACAGAAAAGGAGACAAGGGTCCTAATGGGATGAGATCCTTTCGGATTTAGGCTTTTATACAAACTCCTGAGAACTGGCAGGTTGACAGCCATAATTGGGGTACCAAACTTTCTACTCATTGGATTACAAGTTCTCAGGCATCCAGAATGATTAACAAAATGATAATTTCTAGGGCTTCTGTGGGAGAGTATGGAAAGGTCTTTTTGAACCTTTTAATGCTGTCAACGGAAGAATGATGAGGTTCATAAATTTGGAAAGGAGACATTTCTTCATTTTTATGCTTATTTTTATTTTTTTTTTGAGACAGAGTTTCACTCTTGTTGCCCAGGCTGGAGTGCAATGGTATGATCTTGGTTCACTGCAACCTCCACCTCCTGGGTTGAAGCGATTCTCCTGCCTCAGCCTCCTGATTAGCTGGGATTACAGATGCCCACCACCACACCTGGCTAATTTTTTGCAGTTTTGGTAGAGACAGGGTTTCATCATGTTGGCCAGGCTGGTCTGAAACTCCTGACCTCAGGTGATCCACCCACCTCGGCCTCCCAAAGTGCTGGGATTACAGGCATGAGCCACCCACCCAGTGAGAGATTTATTTTCTATAAAGGGTTGTAGCCTGCAGGGTTGTCCTTCTGACAGGCTGGGAAGCATAGCCTCCAGCCAGAAGCCAGAAACAGATGCTTCAAGGAGGAGGTAAAGGAAATAGCAATTTATGCTGAGTGGAATGGCCAAATAGATTTATTTAATAAGCTCTAGGAGGAGTCATGAATATTTATGGAAGGAGAAATGCATGCACACACAATTGAGTTTCTTGCTTCTTCATGGGTCCCATGTACAAAAAATGGCAGTGTTAGCATGATCCCAGGGTGGAGTTTTCAGCCCTCTGACATTAAAAGGTGAAGCAGAGGAAATGAAAACTCGCTCTGTGCATCCTCTGTACGCTGGCCAGAACCTCTCCATCGTGGGTGGTCTCTTATCAGGCAAGAAAGGAGAGGTTGATATCAGTGGTGGAGGCTTTGAAAGGGCTGGTTTCTGTTAAATCCTTAGGGAAGAAAGCCTCATCATGGTTAGCAAAGGAGGGGGTATAACGATGTGTATCTTAACCCCATCATCGCATCCTAGCAAAGCTGAGAACTCAGTTTTGAAAGTTACTCTGGGGTCCCCTCAGCCAAGAGTGGGTCTGTTCAGTCAGTTGGGAGCTTAGAATTTAATTTTCATTTATCAATGCTAATGCGAAAGAGTACGCTGTCTTCATGGCAGCTGAATTTGCAAGAAACTCCTTGGATGGGGTTAATGGCAGCTGTATTTTACTGGGAGCTCTGCTTTAATTGGATAAAGTAAGTTCTGGTAAGATTTCTTCATCTTCAGTATCTCAAATGTTTTCATTTAAATAATCTTTATAACAACTTTTGATGTCTGAGTGGAGTCCCACACAGTCATCTATTGTAAGACTTTCTGATTCCTTTTTTTTCCTTTGGTCATTATGAATAGGGCTTCTGTAAATAACTGCATGGTAGCTTTTGATGGGAAATAACATCAAAGTAGTTGTCAAAATCCTTAGGAATGTTATTTTTGGATTGTAAGGTGAGACTTGTTTAGCTTTGGAAAAAAATGCCCAACTTGTAATAGGGGAGGAAAAATAATTTTCTGTTTTTGGAATTCTTAGATGGAACGCTCTGTAAAAACTGACAGATTAAAATGAGAAAAACAGAAAAGTTTAAAAACATGTATATCTTATGGTTACATGGGATATACTCAGGGAAAAATGAGTAAATCTCCAACAGGTGGCTTTCAATTCAAGCATAAATACTATCTTCAACTTAAAGAAAGAAGATTTGAGGTGCAGTAGTGGGAAGTTAACCAGCAAAAGCACATTAGACAGGGGTAAGGTTCGTTATACAGAGTTAAGTCCATGCATTCTCCATTGATAAGACTCTTCAGTGATTTAGTTATCCTTCTCTTCTTGGTGTCGAGAGAGGTAGCTTTTAAATGGTGATTTCCTTTATAGGTGTAAATTTTCCTTACACAAGTAACTTTTACTCTGTTTTCACAACTTCCTTTGTTAGCATTTTTTTTTTCAAAATAATTAGCTTGGAATAATTTTTAAGCCAAAGGGACATATTTTGGGGTTGCATATTCTGGTTTCCTACCATTATATTTTGGGGTGGCATAGTTTGGTCTTATACACTGTGTTCTACTGGCAATGAAAAGAGTTCTTGTTTTTCCTCCAGCAATTTGTCATTTGTTAAAGAGCTTAGGAGTTCTAAGAGATATAGACCAGCTGTGCTATCTTTTTGTGGTTTTCAGTTCTCTAGTATGTTGAGCATCTTTTTGTAGGTGTACTTGCCATCTGTAGATCTTCTTTGATGAGGCGTCTGTTCAGATCTGTGTGCATTTTTAATTGGGCTGTTTAACTTATTGTTTAGTTTTAACAATTTTTTATATATTTTGAATACAAATTCTCAGATCTGTATTTTGCAAATATTTTCTTCAATATGTGGCTTGTCTTTTTGTTCTCTTAACAAGGTCTCTTCCAGAGTATAAACTGTAAATATTAAGAAATCCACATTGTCATTTCTTCTGTGTATATCAACCTTCTGTGTCATTTGTTAAAATTCATTACCAAACGCAAAGGCACATAGCTTTTCCTCTATAGTTTCTTCTAGAAATTGTATAGTTTTGCATTTTTAGTGTAATGATGATTTTGAGTGATTATTTGTGTAAGTTGTAAAGTTTTCGTCTACATGCATATCATTTCTTATGGTTTCCAATTAATCATTCCCTCACTATTTTTGGGAAAGACACAGGATAGTGGGCTCTGTTAGAGTAGATAGCTAGCTAGACATGAACAGGAGGGGGAGCTCCTGGAAAAGGGAAAGTCTGTGAAGGCTCACGTGGAGGGACCACCAAAAATGCATATATTAGTAGCATCTCTAGTGCTGGAGTGGATGGGCACTTGTCAATTGTGGTTAGGAGGGAGAAGAGGTACCTACGCAGAAACACCCTAGAACTTCTCTTGAGATGCCCCAATCTTCATTCACTCTGCAATAAAAATGTCAGAATATTGCTAGCTACATGCTGATAAGAAGGAGAAAGGGGACATTCTTAAGAGAAACCTGGCACCATAAGTACAGATTAGGGCAGAGAAAGACATTTAAAAGAGGCAGCTGCAGTAGATACAAACGTGACCGCTGTCAGCCTGCCTGGTATGGCGGGAAGGAGGCTGGTGCCAGAGTGGATTCGGGTTGATCACCACACATGTACCTCAATCAACAGTGAGGAGGTCCCACAAGGCTAAGTGGGGCAAGTCGGGGACCTAAGGCAGTAGCAGGAAAACCAAAGAAAACAGGCGGAGACTTGAGACAGAGGCAGGAATGTGAAGAAGTCCAAAATAAAAATCCCTGCACAGGACTCTTAGGCTGTTATCATGCACTATCAGCCTACTCCTCCCTATTTTTGTACAATAAGCTCTTTACACTGTATTTCTTTTCAATGAAGTTATCTTCCATCTTTGTACTGCCTCTTGGTGAAAAGCTGTCTTCCAAGTTAATAACTGGGACATCAGCTCTCCGCAGTAATAGCTCCTTTTCAGTTTTAATTTGCAGAACTGATGGGGATTAATAACTGGCGCTCTGACTTTAAGTGGTGCAGGAGGCGGCCAGTAGGGGACGCCAGCCGTTACGCCGGGAGCAAGAGGGCCCTGCGTAGTCCCCATCTGCCTGCATGTGGCGTGCAGCCACGACAATGGCAGCAAGAGGGCCCGGCAGTGTGCCCAGCTGCCAGCAGGCGTGTGTGCTGCCACTATAATGTGAGGAAGAGGGCCCTGCAATGTCCCTAGCTGCCAGCAGGCGGCGTGCCACCACTATACTGCGAGCAAGAGAGCCCTGCCGTGCCCCGGCGCCAGCAGGGGGCGCTGGACAGCACTGTAAGCAAGAGGGCCCTGCAGTTGTCCTAGTCGCCAGTAGGGGACGCAATGGCAGAGCACCGTGGGCAAGCTGGTCCTGTAGTGCCCGGCTGCAAGCAGGGGGCGCCCGAAACGGGCTTTTCAGATTACTCAGGTTCCACTCGTCTCTGCGCCGCCGGGGACGTGTGTCTCTGCGCGTGCACCGCGCCACCCCCGCGCTCCCCGCCCGGCGGCGCGCGACTGTGCGACTGCAACACTCCCCGCCACCCTCAGCCCAGCGACGTGCGTCTCTGCGCCTGCGCCGCGCCTCACTCCCGCCCGCTCAGCGACCCCTCCCCTCCGGGGAGGCGCCGGCGTGCGTCTACGCCCTGCGCCGCGTCTCCCCAACAGCGGCGCGCCTCTCTGCGCCTGCGCCGGCGCGCCGCGCCTCTCTGCGCCTGCGCCGGCGCGCCGCGCCTCTCTGCGCCTGCGCCGGCGCCCCGCGCCTCTCTGCGCCTGCGCCGGCGCCCCGCGCCTCTCTGCGCCTGCGCCGGCGCCCCGCGCCTCTCTGCGCCTGCGCCGGCGCCCCGCGCCTCTCTGCGCCTGCGCCGGCGCCCCGCGCCTCTCTGCGCCTGCGCCGGCGCGCCGCCTTTGCGAGGGCGGAGTTGCGTTCTCTTTAGCACACACCTGGAGAGCATCGCGAGGGCGGAGCTGCGTTCTCCTCTGCACAGACTTCGGGGGTATTGCGAAGGCGGAGCAGAGTTCTTCTCAGGTCAGACCCGGGCGGGCGGGCTGAGGGCACTGCGAGGGTGGAGCTGCGTTCTGTTCAGCACAGACGTGGGGGGCACCGTAAAGGCGGAGCAGCATTCTTCTCAGCACAGACGTTGGGGGTACTGCCTGCCTTTGGGATAACTCGGGGCCGCATCGACGGTGAATAAAATCTTTCCTGTTTGCTGCCCTGAATAATCAAGGTCAGAGACCAGTTAGAACGGTTTAGTGTGGAAAGCGGGAAACGAAAAGCCTCTCTGAATCCTGCGCACCGAGATTCTCCCAAGGCAAGGCGAGGGGCTGTATTGCAGGGTTCAAGTGCAGCGTCAGAACTCAAATGCAGCATTCCTAATGCACACATGACACCCTAAATATAACAGGCATATTACTCATGGAGGGTTAGGGTTAGGGTTAGGGTTAGGGTTAGGGTTAGGGTTAGGGTTAG